>NC_000013.11:87768130-88071160 GCF_000001405.40 Homo sapiens
ACTAAATGTATTTTCATATTATAGCACAAGGATTTCATTGAAATACAGAACCAAGTATTAAAGTTGTACCCAAAGATATACTAAGGCTTGCTATACAAAAGTAGTCTGCAGAGCAGCAGCATCTGTGAGATCATCAGAAATGCATAATCTCAGGAACTACTGCAGAAGAGCTGAAGTAGATTCTGTATTTTAACAAGATCCTAAGTTATTAGAATGTCCGTCAGAACTTGAAATGCACCATCCTGGCAGGAAGGAAATTAAATAATTTTTGGTTTATTTGGCATATTGTTCTTTGTCACCAAAAATGAACATGCACTTCAATATACTATTACAGTAGTCATTTTGGGGATTAAAATTATATTAGCTTTTTCTCATACTGCTAATAAAGACATACCTAAGCCAGGGTAATTTATAAAGAAAAAGAGGTTTAATGGACTCACAGTTCCACATGGCTGGACAGGCCTCACAATCATGGTGGAAGATGAAAGGCACCTCTCACATGGCAGCAGGCAAGAGACAGCGCATATGCAGGGGAACTCCCTTTCATAAAACCATCAGATCTCCTGAGGCTTACTCACTCTCACAAGAACAGCATGAGAAAGAACTGCACTCTGATTCAATTACCTCCCACCAAGTCTCTCCGATGACATGTGGGAATTATGGAAGCTACAATTTGAGATTCAGGTGGGGACACAGCCAAACCATATTTTTCCCTGGCCCCTCCCAAATCTCATGTCCTCACATTTCAAAACCAATCATGCTTCCCCAACAGTCCCCCAAAATCTTAACTCATTTCAGCATTAACTCAAAAGTCCACAGTCCAAAGTCTCATCTGAGACAAGGCAAGTCCTTTCCACCTATGAGCCTATAAAATCAAAAGCAAGTTACTTACTTCCTAGATACAATGGGGGAACAGGCATTAGATAAAAACACCCATTCCAAATGGGAGAAATTGGCCAAAATTAAGGGGCTAAAGTTTGAAATCTGGCGGGGCAGTTAAATCTTAAAGCTCCAAAATGTCTCCTTTTACTCCATGTCTCAAGTCCAGATCACGCTGATACAAGAGGTGGGTTCCCAAAGACTTGGGCAGCTCCACTCCTGTGTCTTTGCGGTGTACAGCCTCCCTCCTGGCTGCTTTCACAAGCTGCCATTGACTGTCTTCAGCTTTTCCAGGTGCACAGTGGAAGCAGTCGGTGGATCTACCACTCTGGAGTCTGGAGGACAGTGGCCCTCATCTCACTGCTCCACTATGCAATGCCCCAGTAGGTACTCTGTGTGGGGCTCTGACCCCACATTTCCCTTCCATACTGCCACAGCAGAGCTTCTTCATGAGGATTCCATCCCTGCAGCACACCTCTGAGGTTCCTAAACCTCAATTCTTGACTTTTGCATGCTCAACACCACATGGAAGCTGCCAAGGCTTGGGGCTTGTGCCCTCTGAAGCAATAGCCCAAGCTGTACTTTTGTCCCTTTTAGCTCAGGCTGGAGTGCCTGGGATGCTGCACACAGCAGGGCGTCCCTGGATTCAGCCTGCTAAACGATTTTTCCCTCCTAGGGCTCCAGTCCTGTGATGGGAGGGTCTGCCGCGAAAGTCTCTAACATGCCCTGGAGACATTTTCCCCATTGTCTTAGTGATTAACATTCATCTCCTTGTTACTTATGCATATTTCTGAAGCCAGCTTGAATTTCTACTCAGAAAATGAGTTTTTATTTTATATTCCATTGTCAGGCTGCAAACTTTCATGCTCTGCTTCCTTTTGAATGCCTTGTCGCTTAGAAATTTCTTCCTCCAGATACCCTAAATCATCTCTCTCAACTTCAAAGTTCTACAGATCTCTATGGCAGGGGCAAAATGCTGCCAGTCTCTTTACATAGCAAGAGTGACCTTTACTTCAATTCCCAACAAGTTCCTCATCTGCATCTGAAACCACCTCAACTGTACCTTATTGTCCATATCACTACCAGCATTTTGGTCAAAGCCATTCAATAAGTCTCTAGGAAGTTCCAAACTTTCCCACATCTTCCCGTCTTCTGAGCCCTCCAAGTCTCTAGGAAGTGCCAAACTTTCCTACACTTGCCTATCTTCTTCTGAGCCTTCCAAACAGTTCCAACCTCTGCCTGTTGCCCAGTTCCAAAGTCGCTTCCACATTTTTGGGTATTGTTACAGCAGTGCCCTACTCCTGGTACCAATTTACTGTATTACTCTGTTCTCACACTGCTAATAAACACATAACCGAGACTGGGTAATTTATAAAGGAAAAGAGGTTTAATGGACTCACAGTTCCACATGGCTGGGGGGGCCTCACAATTATGGCAGAAAGCAAAAGTCACATCTTACATGGCAGAGGCAAGAGAGAGAGCATGCACAGGAAAACAGCTCTTTATAAAACCATTGGATCTCATTAGACTTATTCACTATCATGAGAACAGCATGGGAAAGACCCACTCTCATGATTCAATTATCTTTCACTGGGTCCCTCCCATGACACGTGGGAATTATGGGAGTTACAATTTGAGATTTGGGTGGAGACACAGCCAAACCATGTCAAAAATGTATAGAATTTATTATGCCATCAGCATGAACCTTGCAAACCTAGGCATTTCCTACAAGTATATAACAAATCCTTCATTTTTATATATCTATTATGTAAAAATCACTTTAATAGTTATTTGGCATTAAATAAGCTACTTATTTTTGTCATCTGTAATACGGGAACAACAGTGACACTTCCATTGCAAGGTTGTTGTGAGAATTATAGGAAGTATACATGTAAAATCCTTTTTTTAATTTTTTATTTTTATTTTTTACATTAAGACAGGGTCTCAGTCTGTCACCCAGGCTAGAGTGAAGTGACTCGAACAGGACTCACTCCAACAGTGACTTGACCTTCTGAGTTCAATGGGTTCTTACATCTCAGCCTCTGGAGTAGTTGGGACCACAGGCACATACCACCATGCTCAGCTGTTTTTATTTGTTTATTTTTCACCCTTAGAGACAGGGATTCACCACTTTGCCCAGGCTGGTTTTGAACTCCTGGGCTCATGCGATTCACTCACCTCAGCCTCCCAGGTGTTGGGACTGCGTAAGTTAGCTACTGTGCCTGGCTGTAAAATACTTAAGAGTGTCAGATACATTGCAGGCACTCATTAATTCTTTACTCTTAGTATTTTTTTAAATATATATTAGGTAGAGAGAGATTGTTTTTATTCTTCAGAACAATGGACAGGAAGAATGGAACCAATGTAGGTGAGTGAATGGGTGTCAGTTTATAAATATTGTGGAGCACATTGGTCATTTTGTTGGCTTTGATTCTTCATAATACTCCTTCTTCCTTGGGTGAGCAAAACAAAGTAAGGCCAGGCCAACTTAGCATCTCTGGTCATTGTAGGTTATAAGAAGTCTATGATCATAGGCTCAAGAGAAATGCACCTGCTGCTCCTGAGGCTGGCATAGCTCAGCCAAGTTCAACCAGGGCAGCAGAAGGCATCAGTAGCAGCAACCACAATCAGCACTATTTTACAGCGTCTTCATCAAAGAGGTCTAGCACACTTCCAGAAAGGGGGCTGGTGGCATCCAAGATAAAACATGAAAGAAACAGAACTTTCTCAAGGGTCTCTCTCCTCTCTCTCTCTCTCTCTCGTCTAAAAAGAACTTACAGAGATAATGATGTACTAAAAAAAAAAATCTGGCCAGAGGGGATGATTTCACTTGGTATTTTAGCCACTCTGAGTATTGGCACATCTCTTGATTTTTAAAATAGTATGTTTTTACTTAGGATTTTTTTTTTCAGAAGATTACTTAGGATCAAATTTCTAGAAGCATGATGATTTTAGGAAAAGTGTATTCCTTGCTTAAATCTAATACCAGAAAAAAAAGTACAGACTGAACCTTCCCTGAAAAGGCAATTTCAGATAATGTTTCACAGAGAATTAAAATGAATCAGTGTAACATTACTTTTTTCTTTAAAAGAAAATGAAATAGAAAAAAGACACAACTAAAACATGACTTTTTGAAAATGAGGAAACATTTTATATTTGCCATGTGGAAAGTGACAGAAGTTAATGATATAATTTATGAAATATACAAGACTACACAAATCCAAAATGAATAATGATAATGATTACATTAGAAATTAATGCTATTTTTAGATTTGGCTTTTGTAAAGTACAAATGACTTCATGTTTTGATTCTAAGGCTAACAGCAAACTACAAGATAAGTATTATTAATATCAGGTAGTATTATTTCTTTTCTAAAGATCAGGAATATAATGTTCAGAATGTTCTGAGATGTTTTGTAACTTGCTCCAGGATACAGATAGAGTGGTATTAAAAGATCACAAGATTGGTCATTCTCATTAGTATACATCATCATCTTGCCTTAAGCCAGGCCAAATAAACTTCTCCTTTAAGAATAACATTTCTGCTTTTCCCCAAATGATGCTGCTGCACTGTCATATATTAACACCCAGAGCCTTTGCTGCACTGTTCATAGTGTAAGTGAGCGTTCAACCCAAGTATGTAAGTGTTTCTGTAAAGTCCCCACACTTTAAAAACTTCTTCTCCTGCAATTCACCATGTAGACAATAACCACTGTAGACGTTCTCACTTGTTAGAAAACCATTTTTTCTAGAAACAGTAAAATTCCTATTTCTCTTAGCATTACTTATATAATAGGGCAGGAATATTTCTAACAACGTTTATTGTCTCTACACATCTGAGATGATGTGATGATCTTCCATGTTTTTTCTAAAAACTCTGTCTCCATGGCATGTAAATGTTGGTTCTTGATATGCATTGCTAATCATTAAAATAAATGACCTTATAAATTTTCTCTATTTAGAGGCACACAGGGCTGCTGAGAAGGGGATCTTCCTTTCCCAAAATAAATAAAAGGTAAGTGGAAGGAAGGAGGATTTATATTTCCTCTGAATCTTAGACTGTATCACAATTTTTGTTCTCTTACAGATAAAAAGGGAAGGCTAAGTCCATTATGACTGAATATATTCTTGAATTTGTCAGATGTAAGCAACCAAATTACCATTTTCATCAGAAAGATTAAATATAATTGTTTTTAACTTTTTGCTAAGAAAAAGTTCAGGGCAGCTATCTTCCTAAATGTATAGATAGATTTCATACAAATCATTTTCTATCTGCTCTCAGTACTTAATACTTCGTGACTTTTCTCACCAATAGTTTTTCCTTTTAATATTTTATTTTAAATCACATTATTCCTGCATTTTTTAAAATTCAAAATCCACATTAGCAAAAATATTCCTAATGAATTCAAGTGACCTTGAACGCCAAAGAAAACAGAATATATCACCATTATGGACAATATCCACAGCATAGAGCACATGATTTTTGAAGGTACGAGATGTTTGCAAAAGGAAATAGGATGAGATACATTGGCCGGGCATGGTGGCTCACGCCTGTAATCCCAGCACTTTGTGAGGCCAAGGCGAGTGAATCACCTGAGGTCAGGAGTTCCCGACCAGCCAGGCCAACCTAGTGAAACCCCGTCTTTACTAAAAATACAAAAAAATTAGCTGGGCGTGATGGCTGGTGCCAATAATCTCAGCTACTCGGGAGCCTGAGGCAGGAGAATCTCTTGAATCTGTGAGGCGGAGGTTGCATGGTGACCCGAGATCGTACCACTGCACTGCAGCCTGGGCAACAGAGCAAGACTCTGTCTCAAAAAAAAAAAAAAAAAAAAAAGAAAAAGAAAAAGAAAAAGAAAAATACATGGCTAACATTTTAGAAACTACTTATGAAATTTTGATTAGTGTGTTTAGAATAATAATACCTTCAGATTGATAGTTCTAAGCTTATTTCCCAGGAAGCACACAGAGAGTCCGAAGGAGCTGTTTTTGGTGTTGTTATGGGAGAGAGTGTTCTGGCAGACTCATACATAGGATTTATGATACACAGCAGTACTGTGTCTGTCTGAGCATCAAACGAGGCAATGACTTGCCTTTAATGACAAAACACACCTATAAGATACAGACAACTTAGCTTGCAGATACACTGAGCAGAGACTCTCTTTCAAAGGACAGAAGAAGTGAAGGAAATATGAATGGAAAGCTTGGTAGATTTGGGCATATATAAATATAATTGTCTACATGTTAAAACTAATTGAAAGGGGCATTGTAATAGAAAAATAGGTTATACATATATATATATAAAATATATATATATATAAAATATATATATATATAAAATATATATATATAAAATATATATATATATAAAATATATATATATAAAATATATATATATATAAAATATATATATATAAAATATATATATATATAAAATATATATATATATCTCCTGCCGTAAATATGTATACACACATATACATAATGTATATATACATATATATGTATATATGTATATGTGTGTATATATATGTGTATATATATCCCACAAGACTCAAAACATAAAATACAGCCAATAAGCCTACGAAAGATATTGAACTTTACTAATTATCAAAGAAGAGGGAATGCAATAAAAATAACAACAAGAAACCCATTGGAAAAGACCAAAAAAATCTAGTAACAAGTGGGGATCAGGTACTCTGACATATCATGATTGAGAATGGAGGAAATACATGATGCGCACATTTGGAGGAATAATGTCTCTTTATCTTAAACTTAAAATGTCTGTGATTTTAATATAATAATATTTCTTAGAATTCATTACAAAAAGACAATTACAATTTATTAAAAATGATGTAAGGGATTTTATTACAGTATTTAGTTGTAAATGTTAATGGAAATGAAGATACCATGTTAGAGTTTAAATATGTTTAATAATTCAGTTTGCAAATTCAGTTTGCAAAACAATATCTACTTTATAAGGCCAATTACATAATTTTAACATACAAAAATTCAACACTAAGTATGAAATATGGTTATGTCTGGATGACAAAGTTATTTGATTTTTTCCTTAACTTTAAAAAATCATATTCCTATAGGTAGACCTATCTATTATATAGAAAGTTATATAATCAAGAGCAAAAATATCCTAAACTGAACCTTCCCAACCTCCAGGCTTACTCACCAGAGGTAAAAAATTAAAAATAATTATTTTTGTTTTCAGTTATGGTAAATACAGCCATAACACTAAGTAATATTCTTAAATCACTATTTATCTCTCTAGTCGATTAAGATTTTATTTATATCACCCACTCTACACTTTCTCTTTCTTACTAAAACACTCTTTATCATGCAGTGTGATTTTTTTCTGTTTGTTAAATTATTAAAGTAAATAAAACATTTAAACCACATTTCTTTCTATGTCTACAACAGAAATGATCTCCTGACATCTCATTTGTTAGATGAGACTGTAATTGTCCTATTCCTCATTTCCTTCTTTGCTCCTCTTCTGCCATTCTATTTCTGACATTTGTAGTATTATTTTTACATTTGTAAGAAAACAGCTATTCTGTAACATACTAACTTTTTAAATCTGTGTGGTTGGTTTTTATATTTTAAAACAATTGAAGAGATTTAGCTTGATTATGACTACATGAGATTTCTACTGCAAAGCCAAGAGGCATGCTTGGATTACATGTTCTTCTTTGACTACCATGTCTTCATCACCAGACTGGTCAACATTGAATATTCTTAGGACCAAATTATTTTTCTTCCATCCTATGGTAACCATGAGAATGACCCTTGTAAACCTTCAACTGTAGGGAATGTATTATTAACCAAGGATTCCAGCTACTGTGCCAGGCTTGCAGGGGCTGCTTTTGGGCAATGACTGAGTGTGGGATGCTCACTAAGGTAGGCTCATTTCCGGGACACATGAGACTCTTCTGATCACTGCTTTGGCTCAAGGTCTTCTTAGAGCACTTGCTGTATCTTCCTTCGACTGCTCAGCAGTCAAAGATGCTCCCACCAATCTTACTTCCCTCTTGTTCACTCACAGTCAGACTTGCATTCCCCTCTGAATGCTCTTCCAGTCATCCCAGCTTCCTCCTCATTTCCTCTTACAATCATTCTTCCTAATAAAATACAGGTTTAATTTTGTCATGGCATCCACTTCTCTGGCTACCTGGACTAACATAGATGCCATTCATTCCTCCAAATAATGCAACATTTTAATTTGCTTTATATTTTAACCTTTAGTTTTGTGCATTCTCCTCATTAATATCATATCAGTTTCAATTATATTACTCATTAAATATTAGATATATAACATTAACTACGTATAATATATTAATACCTAATACACTTATTCAAATTAATTCACTGAATTTCTTCTAATCTGCTTTATTATATTTTTTTCTAGTTTTGAATTATATAATTGTTCTGATGCATATTATAACTTTTTAAAAATGCCCATGACATCCCTCCCAGAGAACTCTGTTTTCCTGCTTCAATTATTATCCTGGAATTTTCTTCCAATGATCCCCAGGTTCAGAATTATTATTGGTTGAATTTCAAAACCTTTTCTTGATTTATTCCTCTGTTTTAAAATTTTTTGAGAGATATAATTAATTTACTAGGAAAAGATGTGCCAGAAATAGATTTCTGATTTTTGGAATTTTGCAATGCCATTGTTCTGGCTTAGATATTATTGATAATTTGTCAAAGTTTTCAATTCTAAGTAGAAAAAACTTTTCTCAGAATTTGAAGTGCCTTGCTCCATTGTCATCCAACATACATTCTTGCGATAAGGATTCTGAGACCCATCTGCTTTTGTTCATATTATTGATAATCTGCTTTTTCTTTATAAATTATCTTATAATCATTCCCATATTACTGACATGCTGAATTTCACAGCAATATTTAAAGACATAAATTTTGTGGGTGTGTGTGGTTGGCAAAAACACTTTTAAGATCCACATTTCTCTTTAGCTTTTATTCTTATTTTTTTAAATTTCCTGCCTTTCATTTTCATTGCTGTCCATTTCTAAAATGCCTTTAGTATGAGATTAGATTCTCTATATTAGATTATTCTCCATATTTTATCCCTAATATATTTTCATTCTCAGTTTATTTCATATTTGGTCAATATGTAAAATGTAGCTTCTATTTATCCCATAACAGATCTGGTATTTCTTCTGAACCTCATGCCACTTCTAAAGATACATATTTTGGTTAACTGTATCAGTCTTTTCCTGTTAACATAGTTCATCTATTCATAGTTCAACTCCCCACCAGTGTTGGTTTAAATAGTTCCTTTTATGTACATGAGTCTCTTTCAGTTTGTGTCCCGCCTTCTCTTCCCCAAAATGGCAACCGTGTATATCAGGGGTCTTACTGTGCCTTTGTTGTGGTTAAAAAGGATCTCAGATCGGTGAACGTCCTTTGTATCTGTGCTATTTTCTGCTATGAGGGGCCAGACAAGTAGCCACTGACTCTGGACAGGTCATGTTTGTATTTTGCAGGATATACTGACACCTACTGCTAGGATCTGTGGTTTTTCTCCATTTGCCTTTGATCTTAAAGTCCTCACATTCATAAGCCTTTTTTTTTTTTTCTTCCATCCGAGGGCTCTAACCTTTTGCTCATGTAGTCAGCACTTCCTATTGACTTTGTGAAGTAAGCAATTATTTCTAGGCTGCCTGCTCCCTACACACAGGTTGAGACTGGGGGCATAGAATTGCATCTGTATCTTAACTCATTGCTTCCCCCAAAGGTTTTCATTCCTTGTCTGTGTAATCTTTCCAGCACCTTGGTGGGCGTGGCACTGATGTAGAAGCCAAAGTTCTTCAATGAACCTGGACTCTTTCTCTGTGCTAGTTCAAGGCAAACAGGACATTTGCTCCATGTGCTTCAGGTTCCGAGTGCATATTTGGTTACATTTAAAACTTGCCTGTTGCTAAGATTGGGGACTAATAGACAAAGCAACAATTAAGTAGGGGAACCTTATCACTTTACCACAATTGTCCTCTTCCACTAAAAATCCAGACAGAGAAAGAAAGGAGCACCCTATTTTTTACTTCTTTCTTTCAAAATCTGGTCTCTGGACTCAGCCCAGTGGCAGTTAGAGTCAGGAGAAAAACCATTCTTCTGATAAAGAACAGATCAGGAGGCACTTCACACCTATTATATTTACCATTGGTCTTTTAGGTGGTCACTAATGAAGAGTTCTATTTTCCCCTCCTGAATTTGAAACTTTCTGAGACATAAGAAACTGGAATTAGATAGATGGGGAAAAATGGCATCTTTATTGCTGATAAAGCTATTTGATGAGTGTTGCTTTAAGAATATAGCCACCTGGACTTGAAATGTTTCACCTCAGTGTTAAACAGAATGGTCTACCTGATGTCTGTCGGACTGAGCAACGATGGCCTTCTTGGCCAGCGAAAGCTTACTCTACAGATCTGAGAAAGCAGGCATCTGGCAGGCTAGGGGGCTCTACAGAGCCTGGAAGACCCTGAACCTGAAGCAAATGTGTCACTTCTCTGTTTTGGGTTAGAGGATAGGTAGAAAGCAGAGTACAATCTTTCCATACCTTTATTTCTTGCGTTAGGAAGTAGGTATGTATTTACATATGTTCCTCTTTTATTGAAATATGAGGAATGGAAACTAACTCTTCTCTAACACTCCTCAGATTATTTTTTACTTGTTGGCACAAACAACCCCATAATCAGCCCTGGTTGTGGCAGCTCTCTTTAGTACAGGATGGGGGTGATTTATTAGAAAAGTCCTATTCCAAGTGTCATAAGGCCACTGCCCTAATGCCAGCGTTTCTTCTGTGATAGTTCTGAATTCACTGGCAAGACTATAGCTTTTGACTCAGAGAGTTTTGGAATGGGTTAGAACCTTGCTACAGAACAGAAGCATCAGCATAACCTGAGAGCTTGTTAGAAATGCAGAATTTCACAGTAAGTCCAGATCTAATTATTATACAGTTTAACAGGATCCCTAGGTAATTCTTATGTACATTAAAGCTGGAGAAGCACTGGGTTAGAACAAGTCATTCATTAAAGTAACTTAAAGGCTTTGCTAAACGCTAAGCTGAATATTTCTTCCTAGTTTTTCAACACAAATTATGCATGACCACTATCTTCAACGTACTTCACCAGAGATTATGGGATGAAATTAAGTAGTAGTGGATGAAATAATAGATGAGATTAAATAATTACTATTGTAATAACCTGATAATAGCCACACATTCTGCACATTTGAATTTAAGCTCTTTCCCTATATGGAGTTTATTTAAAAAATCACGATCCAAAAATTGAATGCTCTTACTCACACATAAATGTAAAATATGAAAATATCAAACTCCATAGTCCTTGTTACAGTAAAACATAAAATTCATTTCTAAAACTTAAACTCCTTGACATTGGAAGCTCCAGATGCTTCCTGAGATACCTGAGTAGATACCCACTCTGATGGCTGTTCAGCAGATACCTCTTCAATAGCTAGAGCCAGGACTGTCATCCACTTACTCATGCTGTCTCCTCACTCAAAAAGTGGTATTTGAGGCATATGTTCTTTTAGCAGTGTGTGGAAATTTGCACTGATTGTGGACCAGTTCCCAGATCTTAAGATTTCTTTTGTGTGAGTGTGCTATTGGGATAGTACCAAAAATAGGGGTGTGTGTGTGTGTGTGTGTGTGTGCGTGTGTGTGACCAGTATCTCTGTAAAACATCTCAAAGCCCTGGCTGTCTTTCTTCAGTTTTTGAATATTTCCAGCCTCAAGTAGCATTTATTTCTACTCTCTTTTTTTCTGCAATAGTAAGCTATGCCTTAATTTATTAATTTTTTCTTTTTACTCCCTATGCTTTGTGGAAAGCTCAACTGAGCTTTTAGCAGTTTAATCTATCTAATCTAAGTTCACTTTTTTTTTATTTTTGCTCTACCACATTTAGAGCTAGCAATGTTGTCAGATATAAATACATTTTTCCCTCTCTGCGGTGGTGGTAGACATTTGTATTTCCTATCAACTTTTCTAGCTTTAGTTTTGTGAGGCCACCTTGGTGAGATAGAACAAATGAGCAAGTTTTGGCTTTGCAAGAGTAAATGAATATTCAAAAGAATATTATGCACCTTCATATCCCTGGTCTGAATCTTTCCACTAAGGAGATGTTTTTCCATAAGACCAGGGATGGCCATAATTTATTATAGTTCTTGCCGGCTCATTTTCAAGGTGGCTCATTTCCTCTGTGCTTGTTTCCTCAGAGCAAAAAGTAATACTTTCCCACCCATATTCACTGGGTCGCCTTGAAAGTCGCTCCATAATCATACAATTATATGACACCATGATCTTACGAGACTTCCCTTCTCAAATGTGTCCAATATTTCTCTAACTTCTTAATCTTTCTAAGCACTTCTCTAACTGCATAGTCCTTACCTTCAAACTGTGATTCACCATTTTGAAAAAATGAACTCTTTATTTCATCATATCTTTAAGAAGATACCTCTCAACATTTTTTGGTCTGTTTTGAAGATGAAACTCCCAGTTAATAAAATCTTACTTGCTTTCTGCCGTTATGTGCTTTTTTGAACCAAGCCACTCTTTTTGCTCTAGTAGGAACCAAAACAAGATTCTTTTACTTATTTTTTTTTTAAACTAATTATGCCCAGGTGTGTATTGTCTGTTTTCATATCTTTCTGGCTTAACCTCCAAAATCTAATTTTTCCCCTTTTCTTTAAAATCACGTTTCTCATATGGAAATTATTTCCTCCTCCAGACTCTTCACTACTCCTGATACCAAGAGCAAAGCATATTTTAAAATCAATCCAGTAAGTCTTAGATTTTCTGAGAAAATAAATTCCTAGAGACAGAATGTTCCTGCTGAGGCTTTTAAAATTGCTTTCCTAAATGTTTGCACTTAAAGTAATTTTATTGACATGCTGTTTGGCCTCAATCAAAGTTGATGGATAATGCTTTATAATTTAGTAGTCTTTTTTTCTATTATTTTTTCAATGATATGTTCCACTGAGCTTATGTAGATGGAACTACAATCTGCATCTCTGAAATCTAAAACTTTAATCAGAGTTTTGGAAGTGGCTCAATCCAGATCCCATTTGAGACCAAGTGAGGGACTCTGACTCAAGGCAATGTGTATGTTGCTAAAGATTGTTACCTTTAGATGTTTTCCTCTTAACCTTAATGCATTTACAAACTACATAAAGATTAGCAGAATGTGTAACATCTGAGCTGGCACCATCTGCCTGACATTGGTCACACTGTGGAGTTCTCAATTGGAACTTAGCTCCCTTTGCAATTATAAATTCTAATGTGAGGTAATAGCTGAGAAGCACAGGAAAATCACGGAAAGTTAATCCATACTTCAATGACATAAATGCTTGTCTAATGAATTTTTGCTTGGCTTAAGTGAGCATAAAGCAGGTATCAAAGTCTTCTTTTATTCAATGTAATTTATATGCTACGTAAAATTTGTTCAGCTTTGGTGGGGTCATGTTCAGTCATGAGGGACCATCGCATGCCTTAGGTCAGATCAATGTCAACTGCAGAGAACATTATTATTGCTTATTAAGGTTTGTACAACCCACACTTAATAATTCAAGGGCTCATTAAAAACAGCACTGAACCTCTAAAAACAGCTAATCTCCCATGGACAAGCCACTGTGAAAAGCTAAATTCGAAATGCAACATGACCTTCATTTTCTAAGACCTTTCACTAGTACTATACCAGAAACTTCAATCTTTTTTAGTCCCTCAATACCAGTCTTGCATATTCACAAGGCTTCATGTTAATACTGTAGTGTTAAATTAAATAAGCAGGAGTTACTAAGTATAAAACTGAAACATAATTTGGGAATATATTTTGTAACAAACAGCGAAGTTTTTGCCAATCATGAGCAGCTGAGAATCAGCCAAGCACAGGCCGCCCATTGCTCAGACCATGCTCCAATAGAGCCAACATCTAGATGTATCCAATCAGGTGATGCTTCTACTTTGATTCTGTGTTCAGCCTTTAAAAGCTCACTGTCCACCTCTTCTGGTTCTGGGCACTGCCCCATTCAATACATGAATTGTTCTTTGGCCAAATAAACTCTGTTAAATTTGTCTAAAGTTTTTCTTTTAACAAGAAGATGCTGAGCTTTCCTGGAGGAAAGATAAAAAAAGAAAGGAAAAGAAATGAAAGAAAAACTGTAAAACCGTACAAGCCTTTTAACCTTTCTCAGGACAGAACGTCAGGAGGATGAAAGGTACAATGATGGGTGTATTACAAATAATAGTGAGTAGAGATCAGAACTTTAGTTAATGTGGGAAAATTGACCTGCTAATCTTTCATCCTTGCATTAAGTAGACTTAGTCCTGCAGTCGCTAGTGCCACTGGACATCTGCAAAGCTCCCTGACAGGGTGAAAGCCAGACTTTCAACTTACTCTATGGAGCAGCAGAGGGTGCATATGTCTTCCAAAGCAGTTGGATGCAAAAGAAGACCTAGGAGACACTGAGTCAACCACACAACCTTTTTTTTTTTTTTTTTTTTTTTTTTATTGAATGCATTAGTCAGATGTGTCTCTCCCACACATTTCTTTCCTGGGGCATGGAGCATAAAGTCACTCCTTTCTAAGAAAGCAAGAGAAATCAGGAATAAACATTCTCACTGTATAATTTCAATGTGGACAAAGGCTATGGTTTCTGTACTCAGCTGATTGGTCTTTTTCATCTACTTTTAGCCGGTTATTTTGGGAAATAATTGAAAGGAGTAAATACTGTCTTCCCCAAAGCAAGCAAACATTGATTGTTCTTATTTTAGTGATTAGATTCTAACACATTTTCCAAACCTTCATCTCTTTGGAAAGCATGCCTGAGTTAGCTTTAAAATAAAGTTTTCTAATAAATACAATTTGACTGTTGTTTTTATTTGGTGCTGATTGAGTAAACGGGTTAGTGATTTTTTTAGTAGGCCCATTATATCACTGAGAAAATTTGTGTTCATCCGGATGAGGCTGGGAAGTGGATTCTTTTTAATGAAATCAAAGAGATACAGGTTCTAGTTCCAGCTCCACTACTTGACTTTAGGCAATTGATGATTTCTGTGTGCTTTCATTTCACTTCTTTGAAAGGAACAATAAGAACTTCACAAGGCTATTGTCATGATTAAATGAAAAAATATATGTGAATTGCTGAATATACTGCTTGACATATTACTCAAGTAAATTTAGCGCTCTATTAATAACTATCAGCATCACTAAAGGCAAAAGGTTACTTCGTGATCTCATCTATAAACGATCTTTTACATATATACAGAAAAACTGATGGTTATTGAGGAGATTAATTTTCTCTTTGTCGTTGTTTTCCACCTGTACAGCATATTATGGCTATTCATCACTAATCTGTTCTCCAATGAGAAAATTTCTCCCTAAATTTATCTCTCTAGGCAGCCAAATGATAATAGTTAAGACATGTCTTCTAAGATATTGCTGCCTATTAATGTCATTGCAAAGAGCATGAAATTCCTAAATCCGTATGAGCAGCTGCGTACTCAGGAATAATCGGTGCTGTGAAGAAGTGTGTGCATCTCCTTGAGAAGGCAGTAATAACTGTGGTGATGTGAACAGGGCATGGGAAAGTGCACAATTCAGTCATAAATATCAGGAGTAAACTGCTTTAAAGGGATAACCAGAGGATGAAAACCTTTCTATTTCCTAGTTTCCCTGTGGAAACCAGAAGTAAAATTTCGGAAAATTATTTACTGGATTGCCAAATAGATTGGCTAATACTAGGTAACCTTATTTTGGGTACATTTACCTGGGGACATGAGGTGGCAAATGAAGTGGAAGTTTTGGGGTCAGATTTTTACAAAACTTCTTCCAGATATACAGGATTACAAGACAAGATGATCTTTGTCACTGCCTAAGGCCTAGATATCCCTATCAAAATATTAGTTCCAGAAGATTGTGAGTCAATGACTTCTGTGATCATTTTGAGCCTCTGGTCAAGTCAAAGATATTGTACTTAGTAATGAACAGATACCTTTAACACTGCTTCAGGCACTCATGGTTCTACTCAAACAAATACATGTTAGTCAAAAAATAGAGAACTATTTCAGAGATTTCTGTTACGACTGCTAGGACCACAGCCTTGGGAATATGTGCATTACCTTATTTAAGTGGATAATGTGGCTTCCCTCTCATCATATCTGCTAATAATAGTTTATGATGAGAATGACAGTGACCCAACAAAAGTTATGTTAGTGTTATTTTTCAAAATCAAAACACAAAATGCAGAATGCAAAGCCTTGCATACATGTGTAGAAAAATATTCAGTTTATGCAGATACTGTGTTTTAAGGGATCTGAATCCAATTGCCATAATCTAGTATTCTTACAGAATTTCATCAGGAAAATGTAATCTTCTGTCAAGTATCCTTGAAAAGCTAGGTATTGAGATGGAAACACAATGAAATTATTGTATTGTAATGAGAATGCTTCTTAATGGACCCTTTTCTAAGGTTGCCCTTTTACTGAAATAATATACTATTTTTGTCATTATTTGGCTACATATTAAGCAGTGTAATTCTTGACTTGGTGTTAGGCAAAGTTTATAGTTCCAAGACTTATCTAATTTTATTTAGAATTAGGTTTCAAATACTCAGATGCAAATGACAAAGCATGTTGATAGCATTGCCCTTCAGTGCTAGTTATTATGCTAAGCAAACAAGTCATCAAAAAAAGCACTTGCTCTGGATAGAGAAAAATACAGCAGAAACCTAGTCTGTTAATTATTTTTAAAACACATCATAGAAGTATCATTCAAAAGTATTAAAAATCATATAGGAAAGAAAACAGCTCATAGTTTGCAAAACAACTTTAACCTGTGACATATATGGAATAATGTATGTTTTAGTCAATGTATTATTATTATTTTTCTGATATGGAGTTTCACTTTTGTTGCCCAGGCTGTAGTGCAGTGGTGTGGTCTGGGCTCACTGCAACCTCTGCCTCCTGGTTCAAGTGATTCTCCTGCCTCAGCCTCCTGAGTAGCTGGGATTACAGGCATCCACCACCACACCCGGCTAATTTTTTTATTTTTATTAGAGATGGGGTTTCACAATGTCGGCCAGGCTGGTTTCAAACTCCTGACCTCAGGTGATCCACACCCCTTGGACAGCCAAAATCCTGGGATTACATGCGTGAGCCACCGTGCCTGGCCCTAGTCAATGTATTTTTATTTTATATTCTAGCAGAATGTTTTGGTAGTAAGGCAAAGTGAAGCCTCTATTGCTGATGTATTTCTTAAGTTTCTGTATCAACAAACAAGGGCACAGTGGAGAAAGCTATCTGCAGTGCATGAATTTACATGTGAAATTCTTAGTATTTATTTTAATACATTGGTTAGACACAGTGGGATGGCAATTTACATCAATTATTTGTTGGTTTATTTACGTATTGGTATCAACCAAATATCTATTTTGTGAAAGTTATAAATTCTCTACATTCTTAAGACTGGTCGAATTTTAGGTTAAAGTTAACCATACTTAATTAAAAACTGGGGAATGCAGAGGTGTCTCTGTGCCCATGCCAATGAAAGTGGAGACTGCTTAGGTCTGGACTCTCAAGTGGTTTCGAGCAGGGAAGCCAGGTTGGCCACTCTGATCACCCAGAACACCCAGGGCATCCCAGCATAGTTCTCATAGTGTTACCCAGGGCAAGATGGAAGCCCCTGTCTGGACTCTAATCATTCTGGGTGGAAAACTATTTTACGATACTTCAAATACTTCAAATACCATAGGGGTTGGTTTGCTGAATGAGTTCTAGTTGAACTGGTGGCATTCTTAGTATACAAATAAGCTGTAGCAACCAAGGGAAAGGGGCTCTGCTGGCTGGATTAAAAAAAAAAAAAATCAAGGACAAGAGAAGCTGCTTGAGATCCCAGAATTTAAACGTTGATATGGAGCAAAATATAATAGGCAAAATATTCTGCAGTTAACTATCCAACTCTAACATTTACAGTTATATGTTCATCAGATAGTTGATTATCTCTCCCCACAGGTCCTTCTCAGGAATTTCTATGAGCTTCATGTCAATTGCCTATAGTTCAATAAATTTAGGACTATCTTCTTTATCCCTGCTTCAAAACATAGGCTTTCACTTTTCCTCATGAAGACTCTTTTACAGAAAGATGACAAATGTCATAATTTGTGACAATGCAATCTTGAAAGCAAATGGAAGAAAACTTGCAAAAATATCATAATGAAATATATTTTCTTTAATAATCATTGTTGAAGTATTTAACCTTAGAAAGTTGAAAAGAAAAAGAAGTGTTAGATGTAATAACCGATGATCGTTCATCACAGAAAAGATAAATTATTTTTTAAAAACTTTATGGATTCTTAAAAGCTTAAGAACATAATTCTGTAGTTACAGTAAAAATAAAAAAAACACAGTGGCAGTCATAATATCCTGTTCAAAATAATCTAAAGATATGAAAATAAAAGACAGAACAAATAGTTATATGATTTTGTGCCTGGAAATAGAGTTATATAACAATTCAATACCACAGATAAAAATGACAAGTTTTTGAAAAGTTACATTTCACTTAGCAATTTAAAAAGTTTTCAGTAGAAAGAGTATTAGCACTATTTTTTATTATTCATGAGATAGTGTATATACTCATACTTTGTCTATTGTTTTAGCACATTATTTTATTGTTAAAGAAATTATTTTTCATGTGAATATTTGTATATACCAACATATCAGTTACAATACAAATTTAATAACAATTGATCTTTGAAAACAATATACAGGAAGTAAATACCTTCATTCAGTACAGAAATTCTCTACTTACTAAGAACTTGTAAGGAAATTGATGTCTTGATTAATAATGTGGGATTTAAATGGGAATGTTGTGGAATGTAAGGAAGCAACAGTATACTTAAGCCCATAATTTGGAATTAAAATATATGAAAGATTTATTTAGTGAAATAAATTTAAAGTTATGTAGTAGTAAAGATCAGAATTAATTGTGAAGTACATTAAAGACTTATTCATAAGATGAAAATTAATGTTTTAAAAGGCAACTGAAGGACAGACTTCAATGTTTGCCAGGTAAATTGTGAACAATGTTCTTGGAAAAAAGAGAAAATTTTTGAAAATGCATTTTGTAGGACATTCCTGAAGGACAAGGCTGCATTATCTTTCAAATAGCAGAAACCTTCAAAGTACAATATGCAGTTAAGATTTTAAATTGTATTTTAATTTTTAAAATATTTAAAACTATCAAGGACATATTTTTTAAACCTTATTTTGTCCTGAGAGCAACAGTACACTGGGGACTAAAAGACATACTGCCACCTCAATGGAACTTCTTTTCATTTATTTTGTTTTTATTTAAATCCAAAGGAAATGCATTAACATACTTTTTAAAATACATTTTTACGTGCATTTTCAAAATTATTCATAAAACACCTCTCATGATAGCAATAACTATGCCACCATCCAAAGACATTTATGTTGAGAGCAGCAAATTATGAAATAACAGAAAAACTGATGTGGTCCAGGAAGAAGAACATTGACACAAGTTGTAGTTAGGCTCTTCTAAGTTTAAATTCAAGATTGTTTGCTTACTTTTTCTGATACCTTAGGCAAGTTATTGAAATTCTCTTTTGGAGCTGACATGAAATTTAAATATAACATATGCAGATATGACTTCTCAGATCTTCTATAAAGCCAGCTGCTGATTTGTTGTAATCCTAAATCCATTGCTTTGTGATTGTGTGACCTAAGAAAAGCTGCCAGCTTCTCAGTCTGAAAAGTTGGAAATTGACACCGCCTTATTTGATGCCATGAGGATTATGTAAAGTAACATATGTAAACGTATCTAGCCCCAAAAGCGTGTTCTCTTCCTGTGTCATATTCTTGATCCTTCCCCTTTTTGCCTGTTTTTGGTTAATAATCAAGAATTCCTTCCCCTCTGCTTCATTTCATTTATTCTTTAATCACCAAGAAAGGATATTAAAACTAGAAAATCTGAGTGGCTTCAATGAGTCTATTGTAGAATAAATACCGTTTGTGTTGTTCTATGTCCTGTAGGAGTAAACAATATTAGAAGGGCAAATTAAAAAAAATATATGAATAAAGACAATTGAGCTCTAGTTTCCCCTGCCTCTGCCTTTAATCCTTATGAGATGTATACATTTGAGAAGGTTACATATTTTATTGAGCGGGAGAAATCTGTTTTCTAATATATTAAAATAAACAGGTTAAATAGGTGATCTTGAAGGCTTATTACACTTCTAAATTTTGTATTATCATTAAATACATCTCAACATCAGTGGCTTTCTATTTTCCTCTTCTCTACAATTTCCAACTTCTTGCCTATTAACGTTGTCTTCAATTTGGTTAGCTTGGTTAATACAATTCTGATATGAATGAATGAAACCACATTCTGATCTTGCACAAGCCATAGTGTGTTTGCTCCATTCCAGAAGTTACCAATAACATATCCTTTAATGACCCTGGGAGAGACCATAAAATATGATTGGATCAGCAAAAAAAATTCCCAATTTTGGAAAAAATACTTAGAGTGCACATTCTGCTAATATTATCTTTACTTATGTAGAACAATTGCGTACTCATCATAAATAATAGACAAATTTTACATCGTCGTACTCTGTATGTTTTGAATATAAGTAAGTAGTTTCCTTTATGAATATAATGACAAAATACCTAGGATATACTGTATATACATATGCATATATAATAGTTAAATATATTTTATATGAGGAATATTGATCACTGATGGTATATGGGTAAAATGGCCTGTATGGGGAAAATTTTACCTTAGCACATATATCAATTTAAGGTTAATACATATGTCAATTTTAGGTTAACAAATAAGCATTTTTCTTCAGTGTGAAGAACTAAATGAGGAGAGATAAATTCCTTCCTTCATCAATTTCAGTACATAAATGCTGATTTGCATTTCGAGCATATACTGAGAGCATAGCTACTATTTGATTGGTATCATTAATAATATATCTCAAGAAACTAAATGTTATAATGATTAATATTCAGATAAAGGTAGAATAATTGTATGTGATTAAAATTATCAGATTGATTGCTAGTCCCATTCTAATACAAATTGGTAAGTTTGATTTTTCTGTTGCTTGATTACAATCTTTTGGATTTAAAAGGCCCAAAAATATAATTAACTATTTGTCTACATTGCTAAGAATGCTGTGTCTGAAAAATATAGATACTGTGCGACCTAATACAACTTTATTCCAGAATTAATGAGAAAATGTCCAGGCAAATAAGAGACAGCAATAAAAATGGAGCATGGTTTAAATCATCAAATTTAAATAATTACATTAACAATATCATTCATTCATCCCAATAATTAAAAAATATATATTATATATATTATGTATATAAAAAAAACTCAGGAACTCTCCTAAGTTAAATGTAAACGCTATTTAATCAGGGGGTTCAGATTGTTGATAGGCAGCTCCCAAATCATATGTTAAATTCCTTTTGCAGAGAGTTGCTGAGATTTTATTTCGGTAAAGTAGTACATAAAACCACTCACAATAACTCGAAATAACTGAAATACCTAAGGTGAAAAGATGTATCGAGTTGTGAGAATTCAAGAAGTGTATATGAAGAAAAAGAGGCAGGAGGTCTATGTCACTGATGCAGGGTCCTGAATGTCTGAAAGCTAAATTTCCACATAGTTCTATGGAGTCCAGGTAGCTTGTATCACTCCCTTAGGAGATTTCAGGAATGCTTCTTAGGTTTTCATTAGAATAGACTGTACATGCTTCTTTTGCCATGAAAAGTGTGGGAAATGACTAAAATCTGGATTACAGAGCAAATATTAAACAGATATTTTCATATGTATTATCTCAATTAAACTCCATAATGAATTCATAAGGGTAGGCATTATTTATCCCTTTTTAAAATATGAGGGAATAGAGGCTCTCTTGTTTGATGTGCGTCATCACAGTTAAAACTCAAATTCTAGTAAGATTTCTGAATCTGAAATCCAAGGAGTCTTTGCATTCTACTGACTTGCTTCATTTGACAAAAGCAGTATCATCATAGAGTCAAATATATGATAAGCCCCATTAAATATGTATACTGCCTGGCTTAACGAAGACTTATAAAGAAAATACTACATTGCAAAGGAATTAAGTTTTGAGATGATTCAAAATAGGCTCAGTGTGGTGGCTCATGCCTGTAATCTCAGCACTCTGGGAGGCCAAGGTAGGCAGATCACTTGAAGTCAAGAGTTCGAGACCAGCCTGGCCAACATGGTGAAACCCTGTCTCTACTAAAATTATCCAGGCATAGTGGTGCGCACCTGTAATCCCAGCTACTTGAGAGGCTGAGGCAGGAGAATTGCTTGAACCCAGGAGGTAGAGGTTGTAGTGAGCTGAGATCGTGCCAGTGCACTCCAGCCTGCGCGACAGAGTGAGATTCTGTCTCAAAAATAATAAATAAATACATAAATACATAAATAAAATGATATATATTTTTTTCATTTTTTTTTTATTTTACTTTAAGTTCAGGGATACATGTACAGAATGTGCAGGTTTGTTACATAGGTATATGTAACATGTGCCATGGTGGTTTGCTTCACCTATCAACCCATCATCTAGGTTTTAAGGCCTGCATGCATTAAGTATTTGTTTTAATGCTCTCCCTCCCCTTGCCCCCCACCACCTGACAGGCCCCAGTGGGTGATGTTCCCCTCCCTGTGTCCATGTGTTTTCATTGTTCAACTCCCACTTATGAGTGAGAATATGTGCTGTTTGGTTTTCTGTTTCTGTGCTAGTTTGCTGAGAATGATGACTTCCATTATCATCTATGTCCCTGCAAATGACATGATCTCACCCTTTTTTATGGCTGCATAGTATTCCATGGTGTATATGTGCCACATTTTCTTTATTCAGTCTATCATTGATGGGCATTTGGGTTTGTTCCAAGTCTTTGCCATTGGAACTAGTGTTGCAATAAACTTAAGTGTGCATGTGTCTTTATAGCAGAATCATTTATAATCCTTTGGGTATATACCCAGTAATGGGATTGCTGGGTCAAATGGTATTTCTAGTTCTAGATCCTTGAGGAATTGCCACACTGTCTTCCACAATGGTTGAACTAATTTACACTCCCACCAATGGTGGAAAAGTGATCCTATTTCTCCACATCCTTGCCATCATCTGTTGTTTCCTGACTTTTTAATGATCACCATTCTAACTGGTGTGAGATGGTATCTCATTGTGGTTTTGATTTGCATTTCTCTAATGACCACTGATGATGAGTTTTTTTTCCTATGTTTCTTAGCCACATAAATGTCTTCTTTTGCGAAGTGTCTGTTCATATCCTTTGCCCTGATGGGGTTGTTTGTTTTTTTTTTCTTGTAAATTTGTTTAAGTTCTTTGCAGATTCTGAATATTCGACCTGTCCGATGAATAGATTGCAAAAATTTTCTCCCATCCTGTAGGTTGCCTATTCACTCTGATGCTAGTTTCTTTTGCTGTGCAGAAGCTCTTTAGTTTAATTAGATGCCATTTGTCAATTGTGGCTTTTGTTGCAATTGCTTTTGTTGTTTTTGTCATGAAGTCTTTGCCCATGCCTATGTACTGAATGGTATTGCCTAAGTAAAATGTTATTCTATGAAGCAAAATGTTAAATTTTCATTAAATGATAAATAAAAATTAAATAATCAGTACAAAATTTATACCTGCACACTTACTTGAAATATAAAAGTGTGCCATCAAAAGTAAATCACACTACTTGATCACAGAAAAACAAATAATTAGTTTAAAAATATGGACAAAGGACCTGAACAGACATTTTTTTCAAATAATTCATAAACATGGCCAACAGAAACATGAAAAGGTGTGCAACATCACTAATCATCATGGAAATGCAAATTGAAACCTCTGTGATATACCACCTCACACCTCTTAGGATGGCTATTAACAAAAACACAAGAGCTAACAAATGTTGGCAAAGGTGCGGAGAAAAAAAAAGGAACTGTTGGTGGGAATGTAGATTGTACAATCATTAAGGAAAACAATATGAAGTTTCCTAAAATTAAAAATAGAACTACCATGAACTCAGCAATCCCTCTTCTGTATACATAACGAAAAGAGATGAAACCACTCTCCTGTAAAGATGTTGGTGCTCAAATGTTTATTGCAGAATTATTCACACTAGCCATTTTATAGAAACAACCTAAGCATCTATTGACGAATCAATGGATAAATAAAGTGTGGTATATCTATACTTAACGGAATGCTATTCAGCCATAAAAATTCAGATCCTGCCATTTGCCACAACATGTGTAGAACTGGGGGACCGTATGCTAAATGAAATAAGCCAGAATAGAAATAAAAATATTGCATGATCTCACTTATATGTGGAGTCCACAAAAAGTCAAGTACACAGATAAAGAATAAAACAGTTGTAATCATGAGCAAGGGGAAGAAGGGTGTGGAGAAAATGGGAGACTAGACATAGGCAAAAAGATAAAAAATAGCAGATATCTAAAATGAATTTAGTCTAGATTTGTAATGCAAAATGAGGATGAATTAATTAATTAAATTGTATTATATTGGGAATTTTTGTTAAATAAGTAGATCTTAGTTGCTGTTGTCACACACAAAAAAGTAACTATATTGTATGAGATGAAAGATAAGTTAGTTTCACTAAAGTAACCATTTTGCTGACTGTATCTCATAACATCATGTCTTTAACCTCAAATATACACAAGAAAATGCATTTTTAAAAAAGTAAGAGAGTAAATAAATAATATAATTTAAATGATTGAATATAGTAATTATTTGTTGAAACTGCCAAAATATCATATTTTTAACAAACATTGCACTGTGTTGAACATAAATAAAATGAGAATAAAATAACTATATCCAGCTTTTCCACAGAAAAACATTCATAATGAAATGGGAGAGTTGCCTTATCCACCTGTAAGAATGTGCAGCAGGGGTGTGGCTAGCTTCTTCGTTGGCCCCGCTGCTCAGACCCCTAGGGGGAGCATGCAGACGGGCAGGTGCAGAGGCTCTGGGAACCACTCTTGGGTTCCTGCCTCTCGCAGTGTTTAGGGGTGGGTGTCTACAACTCCTGAAGCCCAAGTGGGTGTGTGTTACAGTGTGCTCTTTCAGCTTTGCCGTCTGCAGATGTCTTGTGTTAATCGGCTCAATAGACCCTCTGCCTTATCACAAGGGCAGGGGGCCAGTGTAACAGCCTTTTCTGTATCCTGAGTTTTTGCCCAGTGTCCCAGAAGAATCAGATCACACTTGGGCTGGAAGAATGAGTGCAAGGTTTTATTGAGTGGTGGAGGTGGCTCTCAGTGAGATGAATGGGGAGCTGGAAGAGAGGGGATGGAGTGGAAAGGTGGTCTCTCCTGGAGTCAGGCTGCCCAGTGGCTAGACTCTTCTCTGACTGCCCTTGGATGAACTCCCCCCAGCATCCAGACGTCCATCCTCTTCTCACTTTCTCTACTGCATTGTTCCATCATCACTGTTCTGCTGGTTCCAACATCCAGCCTCTTGGGTCTGTGCCTGCTAAGATCTTGGGTTTATGTGGGTGTAGGATGGGGGATGTGGCAGGCCAGAGTCGTCTCAGAAAATGCAACATTTGGGTGTGAAAATAGGAGTGCCTGTTCTCACTTAGGTCTATGGGCACAGGCCCGAGGGTGGAGCCTTTGCCAGGTACCCACCCCTTCTCTACCCAGCACTTCCCTGTTCCCCTCCCATATCAACAAGTCATCCTGTTACTAGTTTTAGATAGTGCATATTTTGATACATAAATTTGTAATAAATTCAACAACATATTTTATGCATATCTGGGCTTTTTGTTGTTTTAAGAACTAAAGAAAAATTAAATGTGTTGGATCAATTAAGAACTCTTCAAAAATAATATAAATCAGTACAAACTCATTTGTAACTAATTTATAACTTAGTTACAATTTATAACTAAAACTTAATAGTTAAAAAGAAATTGCAAGTTATAACCATTTGTAAGTAACTAGTATACAATTATACATCTATTTTTTATTTCTTCATCTTTTTATCTTCTATGGACTCTTTTTCAAAGAAGAACGCTATTTAAATTTTTTATTAACTCTTGAAAATAAAATGAAACAAATTAAAACAAACAGATCAGGACATTTCTTCCTTGCATTATTGAAATGTACCTGAGCAAGGTTTACGTAGTTACGGTGACATCATTAACTAAATTAGTGAAATTTAGTTGCAAATTACTCCAATGATTTATTAAAATTAAAGTTGAATAAATCAACTTTGATATATCAATGGTATTCTTGATCCATACAAAACAATGGATCTAAGTTGTAGTAAATTTTCATAAAATATTTGTTTAAAGAATGAATGAATGCATATATAATTGTAGAAAGTCAGCATAACTACAAATGCTAAATATATTTTTAAAAGAAAATGTATGTGTGTGTGATTATCTATTGCTTTGTCAAAGTCAATTTTCATAAAGTATTTTTTATGAAAGGCAGTCCCCAAGGCTAACCTACTTCAAAAATATACCTTATTAAGACAATCAAATCAGTGATCAAATGTTTCAAAATAAAATTTCTAAGCATAGAAATTAAATATAAATTCCGTGTAAAATAAGTTTCTAAGCCAAAAATTTCACGTAAATGTCTTTTGTGCAAATGCTAAAATCCAAAGTTTAGTTGAGAATTTTATATAGATGTATAAAGATTCATTTTTAAATTATATAAATAACTTTTATTAATGGTATATCATAAAAATGGAAATTTTTAATTGGAAGGTGTCATTTATTTATAAAATTGGAAAAACAAGGACAAAAACTGATGACATTGTATATATATATATACACACACACACATATATATCGATATATATATATGTATATTGGTTACTTTGAGAATTCTTAATCCCTAGAGTGTCTGCTTACTCTGCAATAAGATATCATATGCTCATAAATTTGTAATCTAAATTGGTATTTCTATATACAGAAATTGACACTTTCATAAATAATTTAGTTTTTTAGTCTTATAGTTACAGAGTTGTTTGCACACTATGGAATGTAAATGTATTTTTTGGCACTATTCTTGATGTCAAGTTTTCTAATTTGGCTCCCAGAAAAGGATATATTTCTATAATATTCTTGGGTTATTTATGAGATAATAGTTTTGTTGATAAATTATTGTCCCAAAATGCATGTCTATCCTAAAGAACAGATTTCTAAAGCAGTACAAATTTATATATTAGTGATTTATAATTAATGTTTGTTTTTTTCTTAAGGATTTCATAAAATTAGAGGTTCTTCAAGCATCAAGTAGGAAAATCACATATCATCTAATTGTATTATTATAAATGCTCTGTTATTAATCATACACATGCCCGTAACCCAGATCCCTAGTAATAATTGAGGTTGCTATAGGATATGAAGAGTGAACTGATGCAATGGATAATATGTTTCAGAAGGAAAGAGGAGGCTATATATATAGTTCCCTTAGCATAATATGCAGATCCTGATATTATTTGTCACAGTAATAATGTAACAAAGTGTATGTGTGTGTAAACAAGCCAAAAATTTAGTGACTTAAAACAATAGGCATTTATTTAACGTATGACTATGTAGATCAGCATATGAGGCTGGTTTAGCTGAGTAGTTTATCTGTTTTCTACTAAACTCATTCACATGCTGAGAGTTAGCTGCAGAAAACAGAATGGGAGGTGACTGAGTCTCATGGCTTTTATTCTCCAATGGGCTACCAGGCATATTTTCACAGAGATAGTGGAGGGAGAGGTTAAAAAGTAATGTCCCAATATTCAAGTTCATTTAAGACTCTGTTTGAATTACAGTGGCCAGCATTCTATTGGCTATAAATACACCTGATGGTGGAGCGCAAAGTCATGGTGGAAGGGAACTACAAAGTTACACAGCAAAGAGTGTGGAACCAGGGGCCGCTGAAAAATGGAGAGTACTGAGACTATCAATATACCACAGTCTTCTAAGCTTTTAACTAAGATATAACAAAAGCCTATTATAGGACTTTAGGACCTATTATAGGACGTTAGGGCTTATTACTATCTCAATTAGATGGGGCAAACTATGTGTATAGGTGAAGTCTGTTACCATTATTATCAAAAGAGAACTGAAAGATTTCAGAATTTTATTGACAGTGAAGGGTCAGGATGACTATTAAGTAAAATATGACTGAGATTTCAGTTACAGGATATGATAGTTGTATTAGTTACCTAGGGCTTCCATAACAAAGTCCACAAACAAGAAAAAATTGTTCTCCCCAAGTCACGGAGGCTGGAAATCCAAAATCAGGGTTAGCAGGGTCATGCCCCTCTGACACCGGCAGGAGAAAATTCTTCCTTGCCTTTTCCAGCTTTTGGCATCTGCCAATAGTCCTTGGCATTCCTTCGCTTGTAGGCACATTACTACAAGTTCTGTCCCTGTTGTCATAGGGCTGTTATTTCACTGTGTATCTTTCTCTCTTTAGATGGGTTTTCCTCTGTGTCTGGCCCCCAATTTCCCTCTTATCATGAGGACACCAGTTATATTTAATTAAGGGCCCACCTTACTCCAGTACGATCTAATCTTGACTAATTATATCTGCCACAGCTCCTTTTTTTCCCCCCCAAATAAGGCACATTCTAAAGTACTGGATGTTAAGACTTAAATGTATAATTCAACGTATAACAACAGGATCATTAATGGAAAGAAGTTGTGGATAAGAAAAACAAAGATTTGGGAAAGGTATGAGGAAAAGAAGAAGTTGAGTCAAAGAAGTCTGAATTTAAGCATTCAGAATAATATCCATAGTTTTGGAAACCCAGAAAACATTTAGAAATGTAAGATTAGTTTAGAGACACAGGTGGGACTAGAGAGAAAACTATGAAACATATGCCAAGACAAACCTTTTTAATGGTAGATTGGGTAAATCTAAAGACCCAATGGTAGATTGGGTAAATCTAAAGACCAACAGAAAAGAGCAGGCACGTAACTCAAGAGGAATTTTGGAGAAGAGAGAGAGGCAGGAAGAGGTACAAAAATATGTACAATCATAAAATTAAGAAGAAAGTGTTTTACTTAGTCAAGACCAAGTACGGTACCTGAAACACACTAAATATTATAATTGTTCAGGATGGACTTTGTAATACTTAAGCCTAGTATAATCTTAATAATTACTACTAAATTTATAAAGGAATCTAAAATTTTAAAAATCTCAATCATTATTACTTCCAAACTAAGGAATATTTCATTAATAAGTAAAACAGTACTTAATATAATTTGAACAGAGTTTCAACTAACATTTTTATAAATAAAATTTATCAGCTTTTCTAGAAAGAATCATGAAAGACCAGGGCTAAGGAAAGCCAAGCTAACTTATTCTGATTATAGAATTCTAGTTTATAGAACATATGGGTGATTTTGAAAGTTAGTAAATACTCCCTTGAACTGCCTAGTTTTAGTAAAGTATCCATTGGAACTGGAGTTGAAGATTAAAAATAAAAAGAAACATATTTTATCATAGTTTTAAGGAAAAGAAAAAATGTTGAAAGGAGGTAACACTTTTCTGAGTCTTTCAAACACCATTTTCATTACTGTTCTATCACTGGGAAGCAGATTACTCAAGGGAAATAAGAACAAGGGATTTGAAGCCAAACTATGAAAAAAATTTTAAATCTTGGAAATACATTAAAAATAAGGAACTAATTAAAAAGAAATCAAAGTGAGAAACAAATGACAGTTGCTTAAATGCCCATCTTTGGAAGCAATTAGCTTTTACAACTCATCTTCCAAAGCATTCCTTAAAGATATTAATAAGTGTGTGGGTTTTGTTTTATTTCCAAGCAAATCTATTTGGAATTTTGGCACTGAAAATATGGTATTAAGGAATTAAAAAGGGTAAAGGTGCTAGTATTATTAAAAAATGAAAATAAAAAGTAATTTAGTGGGAAAACATGAGAGTAACAGGCTGCAGAAATACTGAGTTGCCTAATTTAATGTACGTTAATTGATTGCTTTATAAAAAGAAAATACTAGAAATCTGCTTACACTATTGCTACAAAGAGTATCTGACATGATGGGTATAAAGTGCTTGTTATTATAAAGTCAACATTTGTTAGATTTTTAAACTTTTAACTGAAAAATAGTCTCTGCTTGCCATTTTTACAACAAATACAATGAGGTTATAGAATCATATATATAATTTCCTTTTGGGGATGATTATTATAAGAGTAGATAAAAGGCCACATCTTTTATTTTAATTAAATTATTAGATTTCACTTTCTTTATTATTTCCACCTATGATCAATATGCCTTATATGACTGGATTTTCCCTGATAGATGCAGTTTTGTTTTCCTTTCTGTTTTGTATTTATATTACAGTTTTTATATTCTTAGGCATGCCTTTGACGGCCAAGAAAAGGGGTTTGCATAAATCATTATATCTACAACCTCGAAGTAATTACATGTATTAGTGCCATATACATTTAAAACTTAATAAACAGTTGTTTGTTTGTAAAATCATGGGTACGAAAAGTGAGGCAAGAAAGCCAAAGATTGTTAGATCCCAAGAAATGAAAATGCTAGGTAAAAGAAAGCTGTATTTGCACTTGCACCAATTTCCTTTAGCTAGGGGGTTTTCTGGGGATTCTGCTGCTGGACAGAAGCCAAGGTCACTCTTGGCAGCTGCCCCATCACTGGGGCAGCAGCTGGTTCATACGCTTCTATATTGATTACCTTCCAGATGGAATGAAGGATGAAGTAATTATAAATTATTACAGAAAATTAGGTTTTAAATTTTGACAACATGATAAAGCACATTCCAAATCATGGTATTTCTTAATTGAAATGATTAAGGTTTTATTTTTAATTTAATATTAATAGTGAGTATATTTTTAAATAAACACCCAATCCTGTTGCATACACATTTTAAAAAACATTTATGCAGCTCTGTAATATTATATTGAGCTCCCTGTCAATTCTTTTGAGGAGATGACAGATGCCCGTTTAGATTCCTCTCAGCCTTGAAAGTTCTGGGACCCTCTCTGTGTTTGACTGGACACAGTTTTATTGCCTTAGAGTCTCATTGAGAAGGAAGGCATTGCCTCAGACTCTCTCACGACATAACTATTTGGCTGTGAGTCTTCATTATAACACACCTGCACAGTATTTTCTCAACAAATACATATATTATCATTGAATGGGAGCAGTACATTTGTAAATGCATAGTAGCTTTGCAAGTTTTAAATAGCTTATCATTATTTTCAAGGTTTCACTTGCATATGCATTGATTCATTAAGTTGAAGAACAGTTAACATGTATCTAATATTAGAGTAAGTGCAGTATTTTGGGGAGCAAAATTTAGTGAAACACTCAAAGAAATTGCCTTTTTTATTTTTGGAGACAAACATGCAGACATGATACAATGGGCTAGTAATTACTAAACAAAACAAGAACAAGAGCAGGGTAGTGTGCTGCAAACTTTTTTCCCATTTGCTAAAGTATCTTAGAGACCAGGATATGGCAGATTATTTGGTAAGAATGTTTCAGGGAAAGAAGGAAGAGCATGGCAAAGTAGGGAGGAGGAAATCATAAGACACTTCTCTAGTTTTATTTGAAATGTGTCACACTTTCATTCAGATATTATCTAACCTCTCTGAGGTGCCAAACCATTTAAATCTGTGTCCTAAAATATTTAAAAAATAAATATTACCGTTTTGTGAATATGCAGTTTCCTAAAAATTACTCATTGAGTAACTGCTATATGAAAGAGAAGGTAGGTCCAGTAAACATAAAGGTAAATAAAACACAATCTGTCTTTGAGAAGCTCATTTTCCAACTGGTAGAAAAGCCATATAAATGATAGGTTTAGTACTAACGTTAAACTTACAAAGTTAAAATTTAAAAGTATATGCATATCCATATACATGCATAACTATATGTTTGATATTGTGCATGCACACTTATTACAAAATTATGGGGACATTGTCTTGGATATTCAAGTTACATACATAATTGCTCAAAGTCTTGATTATAACATATTACCACCAATATTTTCTCACAATTTTTAAAATGCCAGTGAATAGAAGCAGCAATCTTACAAATGCATATCAGCTTCTCTGTACAATTGTTTATGATTAGGGCATTCTTATCTTGTTGACCAGATTCCAAAAGCAGGTACTATTACATGAACAAATAAAATTAGTATTCTATTATTTTATTTTTCTTTTCACATTAAAATACCTGACAAATTTCACCAATAAGAGAGAGAGTACCTATTTCAACTATAGTGGATTTCTCTGTTGAGAAATAATCTTTATTTACAAAAACAATTTCAGGCCACCATTTTTTAAAAAGCCTTTATTCACATAACACCCTAATGACCATTTATAGAACGGAAACTTTACCAGAGTCTAGAGGCAGCAGATTTGTATGTGTTGAATAACCAGTTGGATGTCAGTGAAAATCATTTTGCTCCTTATGTAGACCAGATATAGTATGCTGAAATGCTCTGTTAATATTTGTATTCTCAGAGTTAAAGGTACATTAATCTAATTTTTTTCAGGAAGCACAAACAGTATTTTAGAAGTTATATAACCTATATTTTAGGATCTTTAAAAATGATTTTAAATCTATATGTCTATTTTCATCAGAAACACTCATATATTGAAGACACTTTGGTAAACAGAAAGGATGTAAAAAGAAGCAGCAAATTAAGCCTTGTGAGCTTTATTTTTCAAAGATCTTACTCATTTTCCCTAACATAAAATAATTACACATGATTTGCTTTTAATATGAATAAATTCCATCTATCCCAATCTAAAAACAGCCATATAATAACATTTAATATGAAATCTCTATTTCTTTTTATTTTAGTACTTGGATAAAAAATAAGACAATTCAAGGAAAATATCAGGGTGACTCAAATATGTCCTATATAATTCCAAGTGAAAAACACAAAAGACAGAATTTGTAATAACTTCTGACATTGAGATTTTATTAAGCAAAACACCACTTACAATTCTAGTCAAATTTCATTTTATTATGAAGAAATGTGTTTGGTGTTGTTTAGTAGTATTTTGTAGGCTTACTTAGCAGATGTCATTTTTGTTGCATAGGTAATATTTGTTCTAAACTTTGAGATTCTACAAACATTCACCTTTCAAAGGCACAGACACTCCTCTTATTTTGTACACATTGCAACACTTTGAACCTACAATGAAGAAAACCGAATGCCATTAAGTGAACACTTAGACAATTTTGGTAAATTTCAAAAGAACCCATCTATATGGTATCCCTGTATTACTTAAGAGTTTTTAAAAACACCTACTCTAAGCTATGCCTTTAAGATTTATAATTCGAGTGGAAAACAATGTTTTTCTTCTCAGTAAACTATCGCAAGAACAAAAAACCAAACACCGCATATTCTCACTCATAGGTGGGAACTGAACAATGAGATCACATGGACACAGGAAGGGGAACATCACACTCTGGGGACTGTTGTGGGGTGGGGGGAGGGGGGAGGGATAGCATTGGGAGATATACCTAATGCTAGATGACCAGTTAGTGGGTGCAGCGCACCAGCGTGGCACATGTATACATATGTAACTAACCTGCACAATGTGCACATGTACCCTAAAACTTAAAGTATAATAATAAAAGAAAAAAAAAAGAATACATATGTGATTATATGTGTTTTACGGCATTACCCCTAAGAATTGCCATCATGATTATAGAAAATTACATGCAATTCACAGCTGTGCTAAATATTAAGACAAATTTAGCTAGCTTAGATTCAAGATTTGATATTCCTAAGTCATTACTACTAATAAATTGGCTATGGTAACTAATTTTTACGAGGATATTTTATGAATGACTTATTAGTATATTTGTCTTAGATGACTGAAGCAGCCCACTAAAGTGTTTTACACTTTTCCTCTTGCATTCCTGCAAGGCAGCCCCTCTGTGTAGTTAAAGAAATGTTTCTCAAGTGTACTTCAAATCATATCACACTTGGAGTAAAATCAGAGACACAGCCTCAGTGCTTTAAAAGATACAGTTCACATTTCTAATCATAGTTTTACCAAGTTCTCAGCTGGCCCCATTTTCTCTGTCCATGTTTTATCTCTTGCTCCTAGAATATGAATCCATAGGAAAAAACATGAACTTTCACTGCTCTTTCCTGTCTCTGGGCTAGTGTATGTCCTTCTCTAGGCCTTTAATACTCTCTTTCGTCTTCTTTATTTTTTATCCTTCACAGTTCAGCACACATACCACTTTTTACAAAAGTCTTCCCTAATGTTCCCAAGTCCTAAGGAGACTTCCCACATAGACGTTCTCACACTTCCTTGCATTTTACACAGTTGACTCGTGAAAAACTCAGGGGTTAGGAGTGCTGACTCTTACGCAGTCAAAAATCAGTATATAGCTTTTGACTCCTTAAAGTCTTAACTACTGGCCGGGTGCAGTGGCTCATGCCTGTAATCCCAGCACTTTGGGAGGCCGAGGCCAGAGGGTCATGAGGTCAGGAGTTTGAGACGAGCCTGGCCAACATGATAAAATACTGTCTCTACTATTAAGATACAAAAAATTAGCTGGGTGTGGTGGCACGCGCCTGTAATCTCAGCTACTCGGGAGGCTGAGGCAGGAGAATCGCTTGAACCCAGGAGGTGGAGGTTGTAATGGGCCAAGTTCATGCCATTGCACTCCAGCCTGGGCCACAGGGTGAGACTCCGTCTCAAAAAAAAGGAGAAAAAAAATAAGAAAAAAGAAAAAAAATCTTAACAACAGTAGCCTACTGTTGACTGGAAGCCTTACAGATAACATAAACAGTTGATCAACACATATTTTGTGTGTTATACATTTGTTATACTATATTCTTATAATAAGGTAAGCTAGAGAAAAATGTTATTAAAAATCATAAAGAAGAGAAAATATATTTACTATTCATTAAATGGAAGTGGATCATCAGAAAGGTTTTCATCCTCGTCATCTTCAGGTTGATTAGGCTTAGGAAGAGGAGGAATTAGAGGGATTACTCTTTCTGTCTCAGGAGTGGCAGAGGCACAGGAAATTTTGACTATAAGTGAACCCACACAGCTCCAAGCCGAGTGGTTCAAGGGTCAACTGAACTACCTGTTTCATTTCTTAGAAAATAAGTTCCATGAGGGCCATGGACTTCGAGTTTTAAAATACCCATATCTGCATCATTAACTAACGTAGAAATACAAAATATAAGTATATGTCATAGAAAGTACACAGATTTTTTAAAGCACCCCTTATTCATTAAAGACTCCCATGTATATTTCAAAAAAAGCAGAAGAGGGGAACAAACTTAAATCAGTGAATTTTATAGTAGGAAATCATTTTAGACATTTAAAAATTCAGTTAGACTCTATTTTGTATTGTAGGAGATAAAACTGCAAAAATAGGAGATAAAACTACAAAAATAGTTTAGAATTGGCTGGGAGGGATATAGCTTTTTTTCTCTAACTGGTTGATGGTCAGATTATACTATTAATTGTTGTTTTAAGCCCATTTCATTGTTATTTTGACACGCTGAAAAATCTGCTGTGCCTTACAGTAAAGCATACCACACAAACTTAAACAAGGAAATACAGGAGTAGAAAAATAAGGGCAAGGAAATATGTAAGGAGAGTCATAGTGTTAGAATACAAACTGAAAGCTACAAAAGTAATCATCATTACTTGAGGTGAATAGAACTTTTGGTTATCAGATTCCTAGAAGACAAAGCAGAAAGGGAATTATTATTCAAAATAAAAATACTCAGTCCTATAAAATTCCAAGTGAAAAACACAAAATAAAGAACTTATAATAACTTATGACATTAAGATTTTATTAAGCATAACACCACTTAAAATTGTAGTCAAATTCAATTTTCTTTTAGGAAATGTGTTTGGCATAGTTTTACTAGTATTTTGCAGGCTTATTTAGCATATGTCACTTTTGTTGCATAGGTAGTATTTGACATGCTTAATTACACATATGAATTACTCAACATCACAGGTTTTTTTGTCTAAATGGTTTCTCATATACATGGCATGCTACTATATAGAGGAAAATATTCTCCTTGGCATGCTTGAAATAAAGATATTATGAAGTTTCAGAATTCCTTGCCTTAAAAAGTCTCTCCAAATAGGATGATGGCATAATGCCAAGAGTTTGCTAAGTACACACCTGCAAAAGCCTAAATAAGCAGCTCTGTTCTCTATTGCTCTGACTTAAAACAAAGATGAAATTAAAATTTGACAGCAGATGGAAGGAGTATGCATCGTTTTAGAATCTTCCATGAATATTGATTCTAGCAATAAAGATTTGTTAAGAACTAGATTGATTCGAGTTCAAAATACAATTTAGATTTATCAAAATACTTACATTAAGGGTATTAGCAAATTGTAAGAATAAAAGTTGTCTGGAATGGAGAACAGGGTGATGTAATAGCATAACTTTGCCACTAATGAAGGCTAAGCGATTCTTCCTATTCCCAAACTAGCAAGCAATGAACAGAAAAATGTTCATTCAATTGCTAGAATTTTTTAATCTAGATTTTCTTTATTTTCATAAACCCATACACATTATTCTCCAAACTGTTTAATGTCTTCTTCCACATCTGTATCTTTATTTTTGATTCTGTGTAGTTTTGCAAGTTTTCAACAACTAAAATTTTTCTTTTTAAAGAATTGCCTTTTAATGTTTAAATAATTTCCCTTCTTTTAGAGTTTATATTTACATCTGCTATAATTTCTGTTCTTTTTTCTTGCATCTATTTTTCTACATTTGTTTTGATCTTTACTAAATATTATGCCTTCAGCTTATGCATTTTATTACCATTTGTTTTCAGCAAGATTTACTAATTACACAGCTTGGTTTTATCATAGTTATAGATTGTTTTTTATATTTTAAAAATACACTATTATTTACATCTTAAATTTAAAAACAGAAATTAAGAAGTATTGCTGATGCCCTCTAAATTTAGCTAAGGTTATCACTCTGACTTCTCTCTGTAGGTGATCATACTTTTCAAATAAAAATAGTGACTTTAAATTGATATTTTTAGATACTTATTTAATAGTTCTTTAACTTTCATCTAAAAAGAATCTTTTCAATTTTTATGTATATTTCTTAACGTAATTCTTTTGTTTTATTAAGTCTATATGCTAAAAATTTTCTATTTCTTATTTTTATTTTATTTTTCGTGAATTTTCAAGGCCACACTGAATACTACATCAAACAGATATATATGAAATGTTTAAAAAGTTTAAGTAAGTTGTGCTCGCTTTGGCAGCACATATACTAAAAAGTTTATATAAGTTGTACAATTTCTGCCACTTCTTTGAGAATTTTTAATTTTTAATACATAAGAAAGTTACCTTTCACTGAATATGAAAATGTCGCACCATATTGTTATTCAACTCTATAGAAATATGATTTAATATGTAAATTCAAGTTGAATGTATTCTTTTCTGTAAAATTTTGTTTTATTCTATATTTATGGGGTTATGTATTTCTTTAATTTTGCAGGTGCAAATATTTACTATGTTAAGTCTAGTTTCTTTCCTCAGAAATCATTCTTTCTAGATTTCCGATAATTTAATTTTCAATTTTTCTTTCACTTCCTTTTAAAAAACATGGATTATTTCTAGGTGGAAAATTCATTTTCTCCGGCACATACCCAATACATGGTTCTTACAGTTGTAAATTGTATTTTTCACATTTGCATTCTAAGGAAGTTGATCCTTCCTTAGAAGGCTGTGTTTTATAAGAGTTACAGATTCTTTTGATGGTGAACACAACACAATGACACTTAGATAGATGAAAGGCAATTTTTCTTTGTTATTTTTGCCTCCAAATGAGAAAAGGCTGCCAGGCAGGGTCACACAGGGAGTTATACCAGAGACAGGGTAATAGCAAGCTGGAATCCTCAGGAGCAGCCTGTATATGGCAAGTGAAATAAGGTTAGCTACGTTTCGATGGATCCCTTTGTATGTTTCATTTGAAAAACTGTCCAGGTTCTGGGACATAGAGCCTGTCCCTATTCTGTGGTACTTGGAAAATCAGAAAATAAGTAGAATTGTTGATGTCTTCTTAATTTAAATAAAGTTATCACACTTTAACTTCCCTCTATTGGGGATCATACTCTAAAAATAAAACTAGTGACTTCAGATTGATGCTATTGGATAACAGTAGGGCTGTGAGGGTGGGTGCATAGTGGCGGGTATATGAGAGCCCAGTAAGGGAAGTGATTGGAGTGTGAATTTAATTAGCTGTGCAAGAAGGGGAGCTGATTAACCTCTAACCAATAATATTACAGTATTACTAGGTAATAGAACAAAACTTAAATTATGTTCTCTTCTGTTTTTAATGTGGATATAAAACTTACCAAAAATTTGGAATCTTACTAATCTCTTTTTCTATCTTTTTACACAGCTTCTGTCAGGACCTGGGGCATGTATTTGTCTATTAATTTCTCTACCAAATTTAGCTGTATTTAGGGGTAGAAAACAAAGAAAATTTTAATCACAATACTATGAGTGAGGACATGCAAAACTAGTAACATTTGAGGATGAGTTCGCCAGATAAAACCTCTAGTTAGTGAATATGGGAATTATAATCATCCAACATTGTTATTGATTACATTTTCTTTTTAGGGAATTTTGTGACTGAGAATCTCTTGTCTGAAATTAAGTTTTCATGTTATAAGTATCGTTATCTATATGTACTATTTTCTGTATCCTCCCTGTCACAGATCACTACTGAACATGGTATAATCAATACTCGAAATAATGAAATGTTATAAGTAAAAAAGCTCATAGAATTACATAAATTACACATTTTAATGCTTTCAAAGCCAATTCAGAGTACAATAATGCGTTGGTCTAATCAGAGCATTTATGTGAACAAAATTTACTCTTTTATTGCATGTATAGTCATGATTCAAATCACCTTCTACATATGAGCATATATTTGAGAAAATATTTTATAACTATCATAAAAATGTTAGACATTATTATTTTGGTTATTTTATCTGGCATCTAGACGTGAATTAGATTTAGTATGATTTGTACTTAGGAAATAACTTTATTATTATTTATATCAAAGGATCACAAAGAAATACACACACATATATATATATATATATATATATATACACTTTAATCCTTCGATTGTCGTACAGAGTTCTACCGATTTTCACAAAAAACTAATCAGATGACTTAGGGATACTCCAGATTCCACTACTTAACTAGTTCATTCAGTGTATCGTTTATTCTCTGAGCTTTGCTCTGCTCCTCAGAGACTTGTATAATTTCAAAATTAATTAAAAACTTATAATCACATAAACCATCTTCTTCTAAAAATCATCTTAATTTTTAAAATGAAGTAACCATGACATAGAAGGCTAAATTGGACTAAACAAAATGTGGCAGTATTCATAGTTATAGCATTTGAATAACCCCAGTCCTCTGATCTAGGCATGATGAACTGTATAATATGCTCTGTTTTATAGTTGCACTGAGGTAGAATATAAAAAAGTTCGGAAGCCATAACATGCTGAATCATTTGAAGGTTTATTTATTTAATACTAGTGATAATTAGGTATTTCAAAAAAGATTTTTTCCTCATGATATCATTTCTTTGTAGTTATAGTTATTCTGATCAATCTTAGTTAAATGAATTCTTGAAGAATATTTTAACATTAACAAAATGCGACCACGATAAATTTTACATCACCAAATAAAGAGCAAATCCTACAAGACAAAAACAATGTCAGAGCTGTCCTGTTATCATGAATACCCTTCAATTAATGCGTTTATAGCCATGCATGCTCATAGATAACAGTCCTAAAAACCCACCTACAACTTCCAAGGAAACACTCCTATAGCCACTCACATACACAAATGGAGAGTGAAAAAATACTCTAAAGCTCCAAGTATAATGGGAAACACTGAATATATTTTAAAATCTCACAGACATACTTAGAATTGAATAAGAGTAAATAGATTGTAAATTACTAATGGATAGGGTTGATTTCGAAGATGATCCTTCAGATTTTCAATGTATATTTAAAACTTTTATGGAAAGCTACAGGCTGAATATTCAGCTATAAATATCCTTCTGACTTGTGTAAGGTGGCAACTGCTGATCCATTTTTTTTTAATTGTCTTTTAACAAGCAAACCTCTTTTCTGTTGAAAAAGCATTTTCTTCTAGCATGTATTCTATATGCTTTGTTTCCTCCTTTATGCATTTCTCAACAAGAGTGACCCAGATGTGAAAGTTGTAGCATCATTTATATACCTCAGCATAAATTAACAGTCAAATTGGTATATAATTTTTATTTATTATTTCTCTTTTTCAATATATTTTGTGAAAATCTCTTACTGAATAGATTAACAATTCAGCTTTATAATCTCCTAGCGCTAATCAGAAATCATATTTATGTGTGTGTGTGTGTGTGACTTATCGATGTGTTGAAAATACATGTTGTTTTCCAAAATTTTAAATTGTTTAAACCATTTCCTAGGCATAGCAAACTAAAAAAGTAAAAATTTCTGGTAGGTTTTACAGTTTAAGACCCACACAGAAACAAAAAGGCTTTAACAGTCTTACAGGAGGTTTGAAAAAATACTTTCAATCAAAACTCTAATTCTGCTGCTCACTACTTACCACAATAACATATGTTCAATGACTAATTCTGAATGCAACTTACGTTTTCTGAATCCTACCAGGGTCCTTTGTGTTTAGAATCACTAGATAATTCAAAAGTGAAAAAGTTTATTCATCCCGCAGCTACTTATACATATTTGAAAAAAAAAAGCAAGAGAGAAGTTCAAAGTATAGAATTTGTAATTTATGGTAAATAGATTTTTGGCCTCAATTATTTTTATTCCTTTGTTTACTCCTTCCATCAATCCATCACAGATCCTTGCCCAATTGATAGAAAATGTTGTTTTCATGGTTTTTATTTGCCAAGGAAAGAGTAATATTTCACAAATACTTTTCTGTTTAAGAAAATAGATCTTGTCATTCATTTCCTGGATACTTATTACCTATGTACTATGTGCCAGACACTGTCCTGGAGCTAGAGTATGTTAAAATATCAACCACAAAAAAGACGCATGATCTTTGTTCTCCTCAAATTCACCATGTAGTAGATGAGACAAACATTAAGACTTACAAAAATGCATGTAATATTATAACTAAGAAAAAGCTTTGAAGAAGAAGTGAATATTCTTATGATGGCATAAAGGTATTTGAACAAATCAAGGAGGCAAGAGAAAAGATTTAGGAGACGACTAAACTCACTTCTGAATACAAAGGAGGAGTTAACTAAAGAAAAAAGTTGTGATTAACTTGAGTGGGAAGATGGGAGATAGCCTACGCATTAGTATCCTCTATTCTCCAATCATGAGATTCCTATTTATGTACGTCTAATCAATACGCGAGAGAACTTTTTCCATCAACTTTGTTGAAGGTATTCTCTGACACTTCAAGCAAAATATAAAAAAGAGAGTTCAGATGCTTCTTAGATATTGACATGCATAAATGTTAGTACTGATATTTGTGGCTTTCATTTCCAATGTGGCATTTCTAACAAATAATTGGCATAAATCTGTAAATTTTATTTCATTGTTTTCTTGGTGGTCTCTAAACTGAAAACAAAAGGTAAAATTTAGAAAATTCTATTAGCTATATTTAATTAAATATAATATGCTTAATTAAAATAGATGACTATATACCTGTGAATGGCTTTTTTCTCTGACGGTTAATGGTTTTCTTATTCACAGGCTTCATTGTCAGGATAAAAAAAGTAACAATACATATAAAGTATATCTAGACCAGGATCGATAAAAAATAATTCCTGATTTATCCCAACATCTTCTTGCCAACATATAATGCATATTCTCCTTATATACTAAAAATGCACTTGATACATGAAAAAAAATTTAGTACTGAGTTCCTTAGACATACATTTTCCAATTCATAATTGAAAATGTATATTGGTTAGTAGAGCAAATAATTTGAACTTTCAGAGCCTCTATGCCTTCACCTAAGGAATAGTTATAATAATAGTTAATAAAACTTATCCAATAATTAAATTAGGTAATTTATTTTAAAATCCTATAGCATATTTGCTTACAGAAATATGCACTCATTGTTTGTAGCCTATATTTGTAACTTAATATATAAATAACATAATTTATCATTGTTATTATAACTGATTAAGAATTGTTCATTACTTATTTTATAATTAAAGTCTGGGGGTTTTGACGGCCGGTTAGGGCAGTTTAAAACTCCCTGAAGGGAAACAGAGTCTCTTACTCACAGGAAAGAGAGAGAGGTGGCAGAGTTTCAGAAGAGAGGAAGACCAGACAGTTTCGCAATTCATACACACTCACCTTCCAGGATCCCGGTCGATGTCTCCAGTTGAAAAGGCAAAGGCTCCCTCCTCCCCCTCGCGGGGCTCGCGATGGGGGCATAGCGGGCTTCTTCAGTGCCCCGCTGCTCAGACCTCCAGGGGAGCATACAGACGGGCAGGCTGTGGGACTCCTACCCCAGGGCAGGGTCTAGGGGTGAATGTTTACAGCTCCTGAAGCCCCAGTGGGCATGTTACAGGATACTCTCTTAGTCTGCCATCTATAGGCGGCTCGTGTTAACCAGCTCAATTAGGCCCTCTACGTTGTGGCAAGAACAGAGGGCTTTCTGTATCTGGGTTCTTGCCTTGTTGTACCTGAAGAATCGGATCACCCATAGGCTTGGAGAATGAGTGCAAAGTTTTATTGAGTGGAAGTAGCTCTCCGCCCATGGGGCAGCCAGAAGGGAGATGGTTTTCCCCTGGAGTTGGGGTGCTCGGCAGCCCCGGCTCTCCCCTGACTGCCCAGGCCAACCTCCGCCTCCTCCCGCTGGTCCACGGCCTACTGGCTTCCGGGTGCCTGTCAGCGTGTCCTTCTGCTGGGGTGCTCCTATGGATGACCAGCGCTTGTGTCTTCTTCCCCTGATGTGTTGTTCATTAGGACGTCCAGCCACTTGTGTATCTGCCTGCAAGGGTCTTGGGTTTTTATAGGCCCAGAATGGGGGCATGGAGAGCCAGGGTGGTCTTGGAAAATGCGAAGTTTGGGCGGGAAAGCAGGTGTGCCTGTCCTGACCTAGGTTCCTGACCGTTGGAGCCCTAGCCAGAGACCACGCCCTCCTCTCCCCAGCACTTCCCTTTCCCTTTTCTGTATCATTTAAAGGGACCACGCTCTTCCCTTCCCAGCACTCCCTTATGAATTTTATAATTAAAATAAAGTCCACCATAACTCTTCAGGATGAAGCGTTAGAAAAATTCTTATTAATGTAAGAAACATTACCAGTATTACAACTGTCATTACTTCAGTCTAATATTAATTTAGATTATTCAAGATAATGGAATTAGACAAGCTAAGTAAATTAGTGGTGAAAATATGAAATCATTGAATGCAAATTAACGCTTTTTTGGGTAGATAAGATAATTTTGTATAAGGATACAATATAGCTGATTTCTAAACTTAACCAGCACAATATTGCATTAGACTTAGGTTTAGCCAGAGTTTTCTATACATTTGACTATAATTGGGAATTTTAAGCCACTGTGCAGTTCTTCCTGATTATGTACTCATTACTTCATATCAGCAGTTTGGAATTGGTCATGGTGGGAGTATTTACATCACAGAAATTTTAAAATGTCACAAATCAAAGTCTACCTCCCACTCCCAACCCCAGAAAGCTGGCTGTCAAACTTTGCTAGCACCCCTCTGCATCAGACTTATGTTTAGCCAAGCATAGTGTTCTATATATCTTACTGTTATAATTTGTTTATGGATGAGATGTGAACTGAGAGCCTAAGATGAACATATCAGAGAACTTCTTGCAATATTTCTTTATATTTTAGATTTTTGCCAAGGTTTTGGGGACATGTGGTCTCTTTTTGATTGAGTTTCAAAAGCAGGAACTTTGGAATCCTTGGCTTCTGGCCACTCATATAACTATGTCATAGAGAGGTCCTTGCCGAGAGATGGAAAATAGAGTCCTGGTAATACTAATTGTCTCCCTAGATAGAGTTGTACCAGAAGTCAAACTAAACTCAGATTTGCACATACATAAGCTAATTGTTTGTTTGTTTGTTTGTTTTTCTTTTTCTTTGATTCTGTATGGGTAATCAGCATTGAATTTCTGGAACTTCAGAAAATAAATTTTTCCTGAATATCACATATGTATTAGTAACAAACTCTAAAATATTATTGCTCCAAGTCTTTAGAAATAGATAATGATGTAGATCTTTTCCTGATACATTTTAAGATGAAAAATGAAGACTGTTTTCACCTTTGCTTTATGGTGTGGAGATAAAAATAAGGAAATTCTTATTTATTTTATTTTTGGAAGAAAGATGGAGTATGGGATACCTCTGAGCTCAAAGGTTTACTATACATATCTGGAAATCTCCTAGATTTTTTCCATTCCTCCTATTGTCTTTCCAAAGCCCAAACTTTTTTAGGAACTTAAAGTAGGTTATTTGAGGAGAAAAGTTGCTTTAAATTATTCCCTGTTGATCTCAGATGCTTAACACAGATTCTTACTTTCTCCCAAGGAGTAGCTAATACCCTGGTATTAGGCAGGCTCTTTACACAGTAACATCATGATCGTTTTTAGCAAAAGGAAATGGTCTGTGATTATTGAGCTATTATTTCCCATGAGTCCTCAAAAAGATGGACCAGGGAAAGCAAATCAGTAGTTTTGTCAGTTTCTTATTATTAGTATGATCATGTGATGTGTTGGAATGTACAGATTGTCTATGGGGAGAAGAGTGTCATTTCTCTTTGGAAAAATAACCTGCCTAACTTATCTTTATAGAACCTCAGGAAGTCTTCATTAACTTACAATTTTTAATCATTAATACAGGCTTAGATAAGTAGGTTGTATCAGCAAATAGGATTTCAACTTACCTAAGACCATAGTCACAAGATTCATGATTTTTGTTTGTGGGAAGAAGTCTTAAATATCTTTGAGAAAATTAAAGTAATAATGAGATATTTTGGAGGGTCATCTTAAAATTTTAGAAGAATATGGTAATAGTAATTTGTTCGGATTTCTGGTCTGTGATGTAAGAAGCTTGCAAATTGTCACTCTATCTCAAGTAAAAAGCTGAGGAAACTGAAAAATCAACTCTTCTTATTTTCAAAAGACAAGGGACACAAGTGGTTTGGAGGCAAACCACTGCCGCCCCCCCCAAATTGGAGAGACTGACAGATAAATACGGAGAAATAAAATTTACCTGAGCAGACACCCACCAGCTGAAACCTCTGTGGAAACCAGTGCAAGAGTAGAGAAACCTGAACTATAATTGATGAATTGCTAGAGGTCCAGTAAGAACAAGTTTGAAAGCTAAAAATTCCATAGTAAAACAGTCATGGGGGTTGAGTTCACATACTCATAAATTTTACCTCCAAGAATTCTACCAGGTCCTCATAGTAAATATTCAAAAAAAATCACCTAATGCTTCCCATCAGGAAGAGGGAAAAATGAACCATTTTGAAATACTCCAGAGCATTCTGTTTTCTGTTAATAAAGCCTGCACAAGGAGGAACTATTTAACAAGAGCTTAACCTGCTGGAGTTTTCTCAGAGCCTAACTTACCTAGAGAAATGGGGAGACCCAACTTCATCAAGCTCTAGTCTTCCATGTGGAGGAAGGGAAAGCCCACCTTCAACCCAATTGAACTCTCCTGTTCCAAGAAGGGAATAATAGGGGACCAAAGAAGCACATGTGAATTTCACGGTTGAGAGGCACAGGCTCACTGTAAAACTGAGACCTAATCAAAGACTATAGAACCCATTCCTTCCACCTACACCTTACCACCACATTACTAAAGACCTACTAATAAACTTATTTTTACCCAGTACATCATTTCTGGCCATCAGGGAAAAAAATTACAAGGCATACTAAAAGACAAAAAAATACAGTTCGAAGAGATAGACCAAGCATCAGAACCAGACTCATATATGGCCGAGATGTTGGAATTATCAGACTGGCAATGTAAAATAGTTATGATTAATATGCTGAGGTTATTGTTATGGTTTCTTTCTAATTTGATCTTAAAGTCTCACTCTTGAAAGTGTTCATAAGGCAAAATATTCACTTTCCAGAGGAAAGTAAGGTTTGGATGTGTTGGTGAGGTGAGACACAATGAGGAAGTGAAACAGAAATGCTTACAACAGAAAAAAAAAAAAAAAAAAAAAAAAATATATATATATATATATATAACTTACAGATTCCTGAGAGGTTAGAAGTGCCATCCAAAGGGCAAAGGAATCCTGGAGGCGACAAGGAGTTCAACCAGCAGGTGGGAAGTGAGAAAGAAATAGAACCTGTGAGTCTATGCCTTTATTTATAGGCATGTGGGTTTACGGACATCCCTCAGGCTTTGCCATGGGATTTGTAGATTGCTTAGTTTAAATAAACACATGTCAAGGAACGGGCTTATTTACAAGACTCTGGTGTTAACCATTATGTTTGATTATGGTCAGCAGCTTTGAAGTGTGTTGAGTTTTGGATCTGTTAGATAAGAAACAAGTGGACTATATTATCTACAACCACTAAGTGATGGGAAGTTTTGACTAATCCAAAGGTGACAAACTATCACTGAGTTTCAGAAAAATTAATGTCAGGCTTAAAAATGGGTGCTGAGGCAGCAAATATATCACACAAATTTATAAGAAAAGAGCTCTAGTGGATAAAGTAGACAGCTTGCAGAAACAGGAAAAAAAGTAAAGAGATGAACATTATAATAAAGAACAACAACAAAAAGGCTGGTGATCAAAAATGTTATAACAGAAATAGAGATGCCTTTGACAGGCTTGTAAGTAGATGGCACATGGACGAGGAATCTCTGAGCTTGAGGATACCTCAGTAGAAACATCCAAAAGTTTGAAAGTGAACAGGAAAAAAATGCAAGAAACATACAACAGAATAAAACAGACTACAATATCTAAGAACTGTGGGATAACCACATAAGGTATAACCTAACTCTAAAGGAAATAGCAGAAGAAGAAGAAAGTAAGTAATTAACAGAAGAAATACTTGAAACAATAATGACTGAGAATTTTTCCAAATTAATGTCAAATGCAAAACCACAGACCCAGGAAGCTCAGAGAACACAAAACAGGATAAATGTCAATAAAAACACACCTACACATATCATTTTCAAAAAAAAAAAAAAAGATTTAAAAAAAAAATTCTGAAAAAAGCCAGAGGAAAGAAACACCTTCCCTAAAGAGGAGCAAAAATAAGAATTCTATTCAACTTCTCTGAAAAACTTTGCATTAAGAAAAGAGTGGAAAGATATATTTAAGATATCAAGGGAAAAACCTCACCAACCTAGAATTCAACCCTGCAAAGTTATCCTTGCAAAGAGAAGGAAAAATAAAGATTTTCTCAGACAAACAAATATTGAGAAAATGCATTGCCAGTAGATCTGCCTTAGAAGAAATCACTGAAACTGAAACCAGGAAATCAATAGAGAAAACAAACCCCAAAGCTGGATTTTTGAGCTCACTAAAGTTAGCCTCTGTCCAGGCTAACTATGAAAAAAAGAGAGAGGACATAAATTCCTCATGTCAGAAATAAAAGATAGATATCACTTCAAACCTCAGAGACATTAGAAGTGTAATAAAAGACTATTATGAACAACTTTAAGCCCACAAGTTTGATAACCTGGATTGACCAACTCCTGGAAAAGCACAACCTTCCAAAACTCACACAAAATAAATACATAACCCAAATAGACCTATATCTATTACAGAAATTAAATCAATAATTAATAGTGTTACACAATAGAAAGCACCAGGCCCAGACGCATTCACTGATGGATTCTACCAAACAATCAGGGAAGAAATTATGCCAATTCTTTATAACCTCTTGCAGAAAATTGAGGCAGAGGGAATACTTGCTAACCCATTTTATAGGACCACCATAACCCTAGAATCAAATCCAGACAAAGACACAAGAAAATAAAACTAAAGACCAATATCATCCATGAATATAGGTGCAAAAATTGTCAATGAAATCTTAGCAAATTGAATCCAACAACGTATAAAAAGAATTCTAAACTGCAGTAGGCAAAGCTGGTTCAACATTAAAAAAATTAATTAAGAACAACCCCCAAATGCTAAATTTAACTGACTTGAAAAACCTACTAATGATAACTGGTTGATATTTAGTTTGATTTAATCATCCTACACTGTATACATGTATCAAAACATCACTCTGGATGCAGAGAAAATGAAACATTTATACACTGTTGTTGGGATTGTAAATTAATATAAAATATATGGAAAACAGTATGGAGATTTCTTAAAGAACTAAAAAGAGAGGTACCAGTCAATCCAGCAAGCCCACTACTGAATATCTACCCAATGGAAAGAGAATCATTATATAAAAGAGAAACGTCCATTGCAGTGTTTATCACAGCACTATTCACAATAGCAAAATCATGGAATCAACCTAACCATCCATCAGTGGTTGACTGGATAAAGAAACTGTGATATATGTACACTATAGAATGTAATGCAGCCATAAAAATAATGAAATCCTGTCCTTTGCAGTAACATGGATGGAGATAGAGGCTATTATCCTACGTGAAATAACTCAGAAACCAAAAATAAAACACTACATGTTCTCACTTAGAGTTGGGAGCTAAACAATGGGTACATATGGACATCATGACAGAAAGATGGAAATAATAGATACTGAGGACTACAAAAGAGGAGACCTTGGGAAAGGGGGTGAGGGTTGAAAAATTATCTATTATCTATTAATAGATATCTATAAATTATCTACTGGGTACAATGCTCACTATTTGGGTGATGGGTACACTAGAAGCCCAAACTTCATTACCCTAAGTATCTGTGTAACAAACATGATATATTCCCTAAATCTACAATAATAATTAAATTAATCAAGTAATTAACAGCTGGAATAGTCAAGCAACATCGATATTCTTGGAAAATAATGATGCTGATCTGAATCATTTTGAATTTTGTTAGCTGCATTTGGATGTAATAGTAGATGTAAAATGTATTTACTCTAATCAAAATAAATTAATAATAAAGTCAGAACTTGAACATGAATAAACACACCAAATAAGATGATTCAAATAATGCCCATATATTAATGGGTAACTGCTGCTGATTTATGATTAGCATTTCAAAATAATATAAATATCTATATATATCTTCAAAGAGCAAAGAGAACATAAGTAATATAGGGATTTGTGTAACATATTTAAGGTTAGCATTTATTTGAAGAGATCACTGATTTTCACTGAGAGCTAGAACAGGAAATTATAAAAGATGCTTTTACGATGTAGACAGGGAAAGGCACGGCAAGAATGGTTTCATAACATTTTATTCTAATCAAAGGACTATCCCATTGGCCTTTACTCTCCCTTCTGCAACTGATGAGGCCTCATATTATCCAGTTACCAGTCATCCATTCAAGAATGGCAACATTCCCTTTAAAATGGATACAAATAATTATTGACACATTTTTTTTCCTGGCTTCTTTAAAGGTTTCACTTGTTTTGACTTGCATAGAAAAATTTCTGCAAACCATCATGGGAGATATTTTAGTTATTTAAAAATGTTATAGTATATAAGAAATGAAAAGTTAAATTACTTTATTTTAGGTAAATCATTATGAACAATTATTGATTTCATTTAAATACAAACTTGAATAATTCTGACTTCTTTTCCTGTTTAATTAATAATGTGCTGTTTAATTTACTTTAAATTTATTATGTAATGAAATGTATGGCTTGTGAACAAATTTGCGAAATAGCAAATTGGTATAGACTTGGTTTGGAGACAACTTATAGAAGTTGCAAGCTACAATTAATAAGTCATGATATCAAAATAGATAAAAGTTATTTGTATTAACTAACGTTTGAGTATCATGCATTTTGGACAAAAATAATCAACCTGCAATAAATTTTATATTTAAATATAAAATAATGAGACAAGACAAAAAGTTTTAGGCTATGGTTTGTAAGGATTTCTCTGAAATTAATATACATTTGTGCCTCATTTGACTCTGCTGTCAGCTTATCAAGAAGACTGTAAGGATATATATATATATACACACACATATATATATATTAAAATGGGTGATGTTTATTTCTAATAATGAAAAGCCAAATTGTAAAAAAACAAAAAAACACTGTCCCCCATCAATTTATACAATTATGATTTGTCAATTAAAATAATATAAATAAATATTAACTAATTAAGTTATATCAATAAGCTAGAGAAAAATAGTCATATGATTGTATTATTAAATGTAGAAAAAGCATTTGACAACATCTAAGATCCATTCAGTATAAAAACTCTCAGTTACCTAGGAAGAGAGGGTCCACAATGTGATTAATGGTATTTACCAAAACCCACGACAAACATCACACTTAATGATGAGAAAAGCGAAGTTTTCCCACTGACATCAGGAACTTATATGTGAGATCAGTCAGTACAGTTGGCCCTTCATATCCTCAGGTTCCATATCTGTGGCTTCAACAAACCATGGATCAAAAATACAGTATTGGCTGAGTGGGGTGGCTCACGCTTGTAATCCTAGCACTTTGGGAGGCTGAGGCAACATAGAAAGACCCTGTCTCTACAAAAATGATCAACAATAATAAATAGTTTATTTGTCAATTAAGCATAAATAAAACTGGGGAGGTGGAGATAGATAATCTAAACTGTTATCTCAGTATTCTGTGAGACAAGCACAACACAATCATACCTCCAGTTTACTGAGGAGACAATGAAGCTTCAAGCAGTTTGTCTGGGTTGCTCCAATGTTATGTACTAGCTAACCGTTCTTCTTACTTCCAAACGATTGGCCAGGGAAATCTACCAAAATATCTGGAAGAAATATAGATTTTATAACGAGGTTTCCAGATTGCTGGGAGTCAGAACTTGTAGGGCCAAGACAGACAAGGTACCTGTGCACAAAGAATGCGAGAAATTTGTCTGTGATATCTAGCATACATGGTGAGTTTTTTCTACCTGAATTTAGAAGATACCAAAGTCATCCTTAGGACTGGTAAATGGTGAAAGTGACAAGGAACAAAATAAATAAGAAACTAGATTATTAATTCGCATAGGGTGGTTCACAAACTCCTGAGAGTCTTTTTAATGTCCTGTGTAACAAAGTGCAAGGACTTCTCTTGCATATGAAAGTACATGGTTGACTCTAGGAAAAAACAGTTGTGTAATTGTTTCTGTTGTTGGCTGAACTAACTGCATTTATAAGTGGAGAAACATTTTTACTTGAAAGCATAATTGATAGCTAAACCATGCTTATTGTGACTTGGGTAATAAGTAGACATTTTTTTCCCCAAAATCAGTGAAGTCAGTTGTTGCAAAAAACAAACAAACAAAAACCCAGCAACAACAACAAAAAACCTCACATTTCTGGCAATAACGCAATGTGAGCTTTTAAGTATTAGAATAATGGAAATCTTATATTCTCTCTTTTGAGTTAACTAGTGTTTCAATGCATAAAGTCTTTCTGATGAGATTGGGGGTTTTAAAAACTGTGTATTTTTGGAATTAAATGCTGTAAAGATATTACAAAATCGTGCATAAGTAGAGTATCTATTCAAAGTGCAAGTAGAATATAACAGAGTTTGAGAAAAGTTGATTGATAGTGTCTCAGAGCCTTCAGTGCAACTAACGTTTATGAAACTACAACTTGTTTAGTATTCCCAGTTAGCTGAAAAGCCATTATGATACTCCTCATTTTCCAAATACATATCCATGTGAGGCTGTATTCTCTTTATCTACTTCAAACAAAACATCAAATAACAACAAATTAAATACAGAAGCAGATATGAGAATATTGTATTTTATTATGCCAGTCATTAAGGAGATTTGCAAAGAATGTAAAACACTCATATCACTACACCAATTCATTTTGGAAGATATAATTATTATTCTCAGAAAGTGTAATTTATGTTAACATGTCATGGGTAAACGTGTTATTTTAAATAAATTAATAATTGTTTTTTAAATTTCTCAAATTTAATTTCTAATACAGCACATATAGGTAGGCATAACTCATAAAAAAGATCTTTGGCATCTTCAATTATTTTTAAGACAGCAAAGGGAAAATTTTTGAGAACTACTGCTCTAGATGGGATTGTAACTATTTTATTTTCCTGTAAAGTGGCAGATAGTACATATTTTAGGCTTCTCAGACCATAAAAACTGTTGCAACTTTGCAGTTCTACTGCTGTGCAAAAGCAGCCACAGACAATATGTAATTGCATAAGCATGGCTGAATTCCAATAAAACCCTTTCTGCAAACTTTTTGTAAACAAGGGACTGCAGAATTGACGAACAGGCCATGCATGATTTGCCAATTCTTGCTCTGGATAATAGGACTTCATAATAAATATAGGGATAATTAAAACTATTCTTTAAAAAAACTCAGAAAGTTATTATGCTCTATAGAACAATAAGAAAGACTTACTGATAAAATTAGGTGGAAGAAATCCTGACAAATGACAAAAGACAGAGGGAGGTATTTCCTTCTGATTTAGTTAGTTTTCAATAGATATGTGTGAAGAACTGTTTGAAATCTTGTCCTGTGTCTGACCCACAGATTTTTGTGAGGCAGCATATGGAAAAGTGCCAGTTATAAAATGAAAATCAAATAATGACTGTCTCACTAGATAGGCCAAGGACAAAATAGGTATGAACAAAACACTACACAACAAAACACCACACATTTAGAGAACATATTCTTCAAAAGAACTATGTGGAATCTACAATTGTTATGATGAAAACTGCAACAATTTATCAAGATATATAAAAGCATCTCAGTAAATGGGGGCTTTTATTTTTTGCCATTTTTTTTACAATTGTCACATTGTTTATGATGAACATGTTATTGATTTCATAATAAAAAATATGGTCAATCTAGTAGCTAGTTTCACATCTAATAGTAAAACAGAAGACACTTTTTTATGTATAAAATATGACTTTTTTTACTATTATTAATAGAATATTGTGTAAGTTCTGTCCAAATAATACAGAAAACAGGAATAATCTAACAGTCAAAAAGGCGAGGCAACAATTTTTTTTCAGCACCATAAGAATGTGCAAGAAGAATCATTTTTTAAATAATATTTTGACTTTTTCACCCAGTAATTTCACCACTGGAAATTATCATTTTCAGAAAATAATCAGACAATTACATAAACAAATCCATTTATTGCCCTTTGTTTTATCTGTTTATTGCTCTTAGTAATAAATTGCAACAAAATCTAATTTTTGATGATAGTTTAATGTTTAAATTATGGGTTTCTATTCACCATCTCATTGTTTCTTAAATATATTATTTCTTAAAAACATTTCGGTCCAGTTTTTGCTCCAGCATCCCACTTTTTATCAATGCCACTCACGAATCCTCATCATCCATTGTTAAATCCTGTAACCTGTTCTTAGATCTCATTTTACTTATGACTTTTTAGCAGAACTGAGCTACCACTCTGAGTCTCTCCTCCTAGATACAGTTTGTTCCCTCAATACACAGAGCACCACTCTCTTGGTTCAACTACTGACTCACTTTCAGTTTCCTTTGCCGACTCCTCTTCATAATAAAACCACAGAGCTTGATCCTTGGACCTCTTCTCTTTTTTTATATTCTCTGCCTTGGTGGTCTCATTTGGTTTCATGGCTTTAAATATTATCTTTCTGTCAATTACTGCCAAATTCTAGCTCCATATAGTGACCTCTCTTTCGAAACTCTGACTTACATATTCAAACCGGTTTTATTGGTGTCTTTACTTGGACGCCAAATAGATATATAAAATTCAGTTATCCAAACCTGAACTATAGATCTTCCTGTCAATGTTGGGAAGGACTGGATTTAGCCAGTGTGGACAGCATGGTAGCCTGAGTCTAGAGAGACCTGGCAGACCACATAAGGCTCAATATTCTGTTTACAAGCTATTTCTTTTATTCTAAGAGCAGCAGCAATCTTTTATGTGAAAAATCTCTCCCCCTTCTCTTGCTATTAGTCTAGTGTTGGTAGAAATAATTGCTATGCATTACAGCAAAACAAAACACTGGTAGAGTTTTAATAAGATAATTTATATGATAATATTTGCCTTACAAAAAATATCATTTTGGCTCTCATGTACACAATGTTATACTGTCAACTACCAGATCTTATTGTTCCTGTGTAACTAGGATTTTTCTTTTGCGTGGGCAGCATCGTATTGAGTATATAAAACAAGGACCAATGGTTTGGGCACAATTAAGGAGGTTGCTTGTACTGCATGTCCCTCCAAATTGCTTGCTCTTTCTTTAGAAGATGCCTCAAAGATAACTCTTTCAGGAGTCAAGTGACTTTGCATATCACTTTTCTCTTTCCTAATAGGCTATCATCATGTTTTGGAACTTGTGGCCTTGAAATGTAAAACTTGCTCATAAGACTCTTATGCTCTTAAGAACTTTCCTGGGTCTAGAGGAAAGAAAATCATCTTTTTTTCATAGATGAAGTTACTTTTCACATGTTTCTTCCTCAAAAAGTCAATAGAAACTTTAATTATAACTTCGTTTCAGGAAAACCCAAGAAAACTTTATATTATAGAGAAGATACATTTGTATATAGAATGCAAATTCAAAGCTCTTCATGCATGTGAATGGGGGTGTAAATAAAATTTGCCCCCAAAATATAAATAATCATCTCCTAGTAATGGAATTTTGATAGAATGTTACAGTATTTTTTTCCTTATTTTGAGAAATCTTAAAATGGGTTTTTCCATTTTAATCAGTTTAAATGGTTAAAATCAGATTTTAAGCATTTAATCTTAAATTACCAGATACATTCTTACTGTCCTTCTGAGCTTGGACTATTTTAGTAGTCTCTAAGCCCTAGGGTACTCATCGGGTAAAATGAAGACAACTGTAATACTTACATAATACAATCAATATGGGTATAATTTACAGGCTGCATATAAAGCATATATCTATGCTGACTTACAAGCACACAAAATGGTAACTATTTCTGCTGCGTGTAATTGTTATTACTACTAATATCCTTATAGAATTTTTAATATGACTTTAATTTCTTATTCTAAAACTAAGCTAGGAAGTCTGAAAGGTTTTAGTCAAAGTTTAAATGAAGGCATAGGATAAATATGTTCTTCTACTTGACATATGAAAAGAAGGTGATATTGAGCAATAAATAAGGCACTTGAAAATTAAATATTAAGAAATGAAAGGCATATTTGATACATATTGCAACATATTGGGAGACATTTTATAGCAAACATAAATTTTCAAAGGTATCTCTCATTTTGTCATAAGCAGCCTCAGACCTTTACCCATACAATCCACATCTATTTTGTGTGTATGTGATGGCAATATTTTTGCAGATGAGTTATCTTTCTAAAAAAATCTCTCAACATGTTATTCCTTTACTTTGATAATATTTTCAATGACTTTCAATTCCTTATAAAATAAAATCCAATTTATTTTGTCTGGAACTTTTCCTATAGCTCAAGCTGCTTTTAGCACCAGATCTCTCACTAAACTGAACTCAACAGGCTTTTTGCTTCCATCCTAAAAGCCCTGTATGCCTTGGCTAACGTGATTTCCTCCTTCCTTCTAAAAAATTATCACGTCCTCCTAATCATTTTGTATCAAAATCTTACCTACTCTTCAAGATTTGGATTAAATGTCACTGCCTTTACCAAACAACACCATATTTTCCCATTGCCCTTTCTCTTTTTCTATTAGTATATGTATCACATTTTGCCTTTTCAAATAGAGTATTGGGTATGTTGTTTCTTAACCTCATTCTAAGCAACTAAAAAAAACAACCCCCTTGAATGCAAAAAAGCACATTGTTTTGCCTACTTCGTCCCCAAATTAGAGTTTGTTATTTTTGTAAGTGATTTACCCAGTTACTCTATCAAAGTAAGTTCTTACATCTTCATAATGAGGGAGTTGGAGATGACCCCTAATGCTTCTTCCAAATATAGTGTAACAACAGGCAAACAGTAAGCTGTCCTGTCTTCAAACAAGAACCGGGTAATAAGATTGCCTCCAAGAGCTAAATCACCCCACAATAGATGTAATTAGCCATCTGTTGGGAGTAACTCAAATTGTCTGTAAATGTATTACTAAAAAGTTTTGGGATTCCTAAATTCCCCATCAAAGTAGTATATTATCATCTCAGGAGGCAGTACTGGAAGGGGCCAGTAATTAAAGTAGAAACTTAATAGACTGTACAAAATGTCTCACGGTGTAGCAAGTAGGTGCTTAGAAAATGTAAACACAAAGAGTGAAATCCTGACACATTAGTTAGTACTTTTAAGAACAAGCCTGTGTATTAAACCCATTTGATCCCAAGGGCTCATACATTAATATATGAACAATTTTTCATTCCTTTGTTATTTCATTTTCACCATGCAGTTGACTTCTCACACAGATCTGCCTTAAAGGAGGGAAGATAATGGTAATGCTTCTAAAGCATTTCAGTTAGTGAAGGGACACGTATTGCAGAAACTTAAAATGCAAATAGAATTAAAGTAAAATTCTGCTGACAAATTCAAGAAAGCCTTTGAAATCTCTCTCCTGCGTCACCTCACCCACATAAAGATTGGCATTTACCATATGACAGAGTAGCCTCGAATGACCAGATATTTGCTTTGAAAGATTACTTTTGATTACTTGTTTTATCCAGGTAGTTACTTTAAGTTAGACATTCCTATACCACCCTTCAATTACAATAACGGAAGTACATCTAAATTTTGAGAGTCCTGAAAGGTGGAAATGCCACTTGACTCTATGCTACAATTTGAGTGTGAGTCAGTGAAGAGCTAATTTTCTAGAAGACAAACTTCAAAACTTCTTCTACTAGGTACTTGAGGTTTCTGAGGGCTATGTATACAAATTAAATGCAAGTTCAAAATGTACTCCTTTGGGATAAAGTTGAGATTATACATTATTCTTTGCTAAACAAGGGTAATAATGACATCCAAATTACCATGAACCTGATGGATCTATGTAGCTCCTGCATGAGAACATATCCTGAAATATATAGCATCAGTCATGTCACAATTAAAATTATTATTATGTTCCTTGTAGTAAATAAAGAGAATTATAGGCCGACTGCAATGACTCATACCTGTAATCCTAGCACTTTGGGAGGTCAAGGCAGGCAGATCACCTGAGGTAAGGAGTTCAAGACCAGCCTGGCAAAATGGTGAAACCCCGTCTCTATGAAAAATACAAAAGTGATGGTGCATGCCTATGCTCGGGAGGCTGAGGTAAGAGAACCGCTTGAACCTGGAAGGTAGAGGTTGCAGTGAGCCGAGATTGCACCACTACACTCTAGCCTGGGCAACAGAGTGAGACCCCATCTGAAAAAAAAAAAGAGCGAGAGAGAGAGAGATACAGATAATACATGTTTGTTAAAAATGAATGACAGCACCAGACAGACATGAAATCTCCATCTTGAGGTTCTTACCAATATTATTTGGGAACCAGCATCTAGGACATGGTAGAGACTCAATAAACATCGCTGAATGAGAAAAAAAATATATTTTTCTATAAAATCCTCACACAACTCCATGAGATATTAAAATTCCCCCTGTAAAAATATGACTTTACAATCAGTGAGGAAGCTGAGTTTTAGGAAAAGGCAGTTTAAGTACCCAGCCCTAGGAAAATCAATTATGCCGTGGCTGGGTGAAGTTTCCACCCAGCTGAGCTGGATCCAAAGCCTGCCTTCTTTTCCCAATGTTCATGTTCCAAAATTACTTCCTTTAATTCTTTTCCTTCCAAAACATTTATTTAAATATTCTTTTAAATAAAGTTGCTACTAGAGAATAGTAATTGATAAAGCATTTATGTGTCATTCAGACTGTAACATATACTTTGCTAAATTCAATTCTTTAGCAGTTGGAGATTGATGGAAAGAAGGTAAAGTTAAGCCATATCCAAGGTAAATCTTTTGACATATTTTTTATTGTGACAGGTCTTTTTTATTATTTTATTATACTTTAAGTTCTGGGATACATGTGCAGTACGTGCAGGTTTGTTACATAGTTATATATGTACCATGGTGGCTTGCTGCACCCATCACCCCATCATCTACATTAGGTATTTCTCCTAATGCTATCCCTTCCCTAGCCCCCCGTCCCCTGACAGTCCCCAGTGTGTGATGTTCCCCTCCCTGTGTGCATGTGTTCTCATTGTCCAACTCCCACTTATGAGTGAGAACATGCAGTGTTTGGTTTTCTGTTCCTGTGTTAGTTTGCTGAGAATGATGGTTTCTAGCTTCATCCGTGTCCCTGCAAAGGATATGAACTCATCCTTTTGACTCAGCAATCCCATTACTGGGTATATACCCAAAGGATTATAAATCATTCTACTATAAAACACATTCACACATATGTTTATTGCAGTACTGTTCACAGTAGCAAAGACTTGGAACCAACCCAAATACCCATCAATGATAGGCTGGATAAAGAAAATATGGCACATATACACCATGGAATACTATGCAGACTTAATTTTTGAGTATGTATTGACACATGTATTCATATAAAGTTCTTCTCTAGTCTCATCTCATTGTTTCATGATCATTATCAGCACTGCATCATGCATATATTTGTTTTTTACATTTATAATATATAAGGTTACAAATTCTTTATAGCTTATAAAAATTTTCCAGAGACATTCTGAATAATCCTTGCCATAATCGTGGCTCAGATATATAATAATTTTCACTGTACAGATAACAACTCAGATTCAGGAACTTAAGATACTTAACAAAAATTTAAATTAAGTTTTATAGGGCTTTCCAAATTCATTTCCCACGTGTTCGCTGCCTCCCTTTTGTGATATATGAAAGATATCATGGTACAATTATATAATCTTTCCCAAAAGACAAGTGACTAAAACTTAAAATTTTCCTTTTTATGAGCAGGTGGGCTTAGATACTAGATGGAACATTTAGAGGATTAACCATTCCACAAGAGCGTGAAAATTCTCCCAGGTTTGCCACTGTTGGCCTTACTCAATTTTTTTTAAATGCATTGCCCAGTCTTTTTCAAATTCTAGCTATATTTTGAACTATGTCAGATCCTATTTATTTCTTTGAATTTTAAAAATTCTGTTGCCTTTGCATTTTGGATATCCTAAAGTCAAAATAATGTTCTAAGCGGCTTTGCTGTGCACATTGGCCCACTCAGAGAATGTGTGCAATAATACAAATCTGTCTGAAGATCACCTCTATTAATACCAAACCACATTAAAAGTGATATTGTGGAACTGTAATCCAAAAACAGTTATTAAGCACCTACTAAGGCCAATGATCTATGGTAGATGTTTTGACCAAACAAAATTAGTGATTTCAATCTTCAAGGCATATATATTCCACTTAAAGATTTAATGGAAGTGTCTTTCTCTTGCTGGAAGAGCATGCTAATGAGAGAATGAGCTGGCAGTTGCTACATTTCTACAGAGAACATTACCAAACCATTTACAGTTTAGTCATGAATTAGTCACCAGTGAAGATGGTTATATAAAATCTGCTTCAGCGATTCAGATCCGCGAAGTCAGCTTGTACCGTAAAAGTGGCAACAAAGTCAAAGATCCACAGAACTGAAGGAATCATAGACTTCTAGCACTCATCTTCAAACTGAGAAACATGTACCTGTCCAGCCCAGCACCTGCAACTACACATGCCAAAAGCCAGGAGAACAGAATAAATGAATGAATAACATAGATTTTCCCAAATTACCTAATGTTTGTTGACATGAACTGCTACTCTTTAAATATACTTGCAAGTATCCTAAAAAATATAATATATTTTATGGTCATGGGTTTATTAAAAAATTATAATTCATTATGCAATTGTAAAAGGAAATGTTTTATCACTAATTCAAACTTGTATATTTTAATCTTGAATAAATTCATAGTGGGAAAGACATTTTCCGAACTCACTCTGATTTCTTTTTCATGATATATCAATATACTTTTATTAATATATATGATAACTGTTTTATTGCCAATTTGAATGTTATTAAAGTAATATATTTTGTTCATTACCACATAGGTGGGAAACATTTCATAGTTTTAAAAGAGATAACTTCTCATTAGGAATGTCCAGTTAGGAATATTAAATTTTTATAACATTAGTAAGCTAATTTAATCTATTCATGATAAAGAAACCATTTATTTATCATACAAAGTACCTCATAATAAAACTACAATTTTACTAGTATATAAAATTATAAATATCAGGTAACAGTTTTCATTAGCCTAATGCACAGGAATAATAATTCACTTTTTTCTAGCCACTGGAAAAGTGGCAACAGGGAGATGGGTCTAAGGTTTTCTGTAATAGTCCCTCTTCTTGACAGAGGGTTTTCACTATAAAACATATCTGGACATGATACGGGCTTTGGGGAAAGGTAAAAAAGTGAAAATGCAGAGAAGCAATTTCATGCTCTATTGGATATATGTTGATACAATGTAACATAAGACAAATTTCTTTCCTCAGGAACACCAGAAATTATACACTTAAAGGTGGGATCCTATTATCCTGTTAATACTTTGCTCTCTTACATCTTCTTGGTATTTTTTCTGATCACTCTTACCTTCTTTACAATTAGTATGAAAACACTATTCAAAATCATTTATTGAGCTTGGTATTTTTTGCCTAAACCCATAACCCTGTGGCTTAGCAACTTAAACCTGTTTCATTAAAATTATCTGTCTACCTATCATTATCTATCTATCTATCTATCATCTATCTATATCATCTATCTATCAAAAATCGATAGTAAGATTCATGTTATTAAATTGACCAGTTGATAGAAGGTGCAAGGCAGGGAAAATGCTTCTATATGTTAAATTTCTTCTGCATGCTGAGAAAATTTCCACATTTTCTCATAGTATCTTAACATGCAAAATATAGCTATTTCCCTATTTTTATATATGAGAGATCTGAGGCCAAACAAGTTTGTTAACTTGTCTGAGATATTGATCAAATCGGTATTATGTGCCTAAATTTTACTGTCTCCAAGGCTTACGTTCTCAATCAATTTGTTGCTTGTCCTCTGATATTTTATTCTGATTGCACAAATGGTGTATGGCTTTATTAAAAAATATAAAAATTTATTTTAAAAGCAATCAAAATCCACACAGTGTAGTCATTAAAATCAGTGAGTGAAGCAAAGTGAACAAAGGAGGGACAGGTGTTTTAAGAAAAGGTCCCTGTCAGCTACAGAGCTGGAATGGAAGAGCACAGGGGGAGAACAGCACAGGAGAATGTGACTCCAAGTGAGAAAACTGCTCTTGTTAGTACATAAGTTGGTCTCCCCAGGCTGTCTACTCTCCTTTACCTCTCTGTTTGTTGGGGCTCATTATTTCTGTTCTGTTGTTGATGATAGCTTCTACACAGAGGGTAAGAGTAACTGCTGAAAAACTGCTAGTGTGGAGGTCAGCTGGGAAACTCGGTTAGTAATCCCAGAGTAAGGCAATGGAGATCTGAATTTGTGAAATGTCTGAATATGGCAAACGAGGGAAGGATCTGAGGCCACTGAGAGGAAATAGATAGGCGTTTAGCAACTGCTAACCATGCAGATTTTCATTAAGCCTGTGATGTGGACAACAGAGCATATTCAAGCAATCCTCTTACTAACACGGTAAGTTTCTAACCTCTTTATCCTCATTTTCCTTCTGTTAAAGAGTGCAACATTACCTATTTGTAGTGTTCTTTTAAAGATAAAAATAATAACGTATTATGGAGATTGCATTAGAGTTTAGCACATTGTTAGTGCCTAATAATGTTTTTTTCCTCATCAATATTATCATAAGTAGTAGCAGGGAAAAAGAGAGGAAAGTTAAATCTAATGTATTGTAAAGACCTAACACAGTGTTTTCAGAGCAGAACCTTCATCTGTATAGATTTTTATATCAAGTAAAGCTTGACATTGCAAACTTGTGCCTACTATGAATTCTATAGATGAATTTCCATTGTATTTTTCTTATTTGAGCCCTGGAAGACACATATTTTATTTAAACTTTCTCTTTTGCATCTTTGAAAAAAAATTCATCAATATTTTTTAGCTTTATTTCTGTAGGAGACATAATGATGAATGATAAAATTAAGTTATAAAAATTTTTCTTTTCTTTCTGCAATTTTACTTTAAATAAATCATGATATATAGCTGAAGAATTAACTATGATAAACTACTATGAATTTATCATCTAAACTGAGCTTAGGATGGACTGAATTAAAAGCTATATCAAGTATAATTCAAGAGGGAAAAGAAAATGGTATCAGACTACAGAATAGCATAGCATGTTTCTCCATTATACTTGAAAAAGTAAAATTGTTTTATATATTTGGATTTTACATGTTTTAGGGAAAGTACTAATAATAACATTACTGTTACTATTATGAACACAGTAAGCTTACATCAGATGATATTTTATAATTTGCTAAAAAACTATATTTTAATTCTCAATTCTTACAATACTACCATAAAAAAACATACATTTGTCTTTAATTTAAAGATGACAAATGTAGTATCTGGAAGGAGAAATGAATTGTTCAAGTTTACATATTATACTAATAGATAAATTCTATGTTCAGGTACAGATATTCTGATGCCCAATCTAAAATTCTTCAATTATGCTACATATCCACAACCTTTTTTTAGTGGACTGTCAGTGGGAAAGAGAACTAGATGAGAATGTAGAAATGAAAGCAAAATGGAAACATTTTTAAATGTAAATGGTTGTTTCAAAACTGATAATATTTTTTCCATGTGCTCAAAATGTTGAGCAAATGTTAAACTTCTTCAATTAATTGGATGTGTCGATGTGGCCATGTGTATGTTAGTAAGAGTCAGGGTTATTCAAAGAAATATATACATGAATACATATATGTCTATGTATACCCACGTGTGTGTGCGTGTATATATATATATATCTCGTTGGTTGTGTTTCTTTCAAGGACTATTATATACAACTTAAACAAATTATTTCCATAGGTTTTTAGGGAACAGGTGGCAATTGGTTACATGAGTAATTTCTTTTTTCACGTGAGTAATTTCTTTAGTGGTGATTTGTGAGATTTTGGTGCACCCATCATCCAAGCAGTATAGACTGAACCCAATTTGTAGTCTTTTATCCCTCACCGCCTTCCCATTCTTTCCCCCTGAGTCCCCGAAGTTCACTGTATCATTCTTATGCCTTTACATCCTCATTTCTTAGCTCACATTTATGAGTGAGAACATACAATATTTGGTATTCCATTTCTGAGTTACTTCATTTACAATAGTAGTATGTAATCCCATCCAGGTTGCTGTGAATACCATTAATTCATTCCTTATTATGGCTGAGTAGTGTTCCATCATATATATGTGTGTGTGTTCACACATATAACATATATATGTGTGATATATATATATATATCTCACAGTTTTTTAATCCACTTGTTGATTGATGAGTCTTTGAACTAGCTCCACATTTTTGCAATTGCAAATTGTGCTGCTTTAAACATTAGTGTGCAAGTATCCTTTTTTATACAATGACTCCTTTTTCCTTTTCCTTTAATAAAATATATTTATCAAAAGCAATTGGCTCACACAATTATAAGGACTGAGAAGTCCCAGGATCTGAAGTCAGTAAGCTGGAGATCCAGGGAAAAGATCTGAGAACCAAGAGACCTAATGGTGTGAGTTCCAGTCTGAAAGCTGGCAGATTTGAGACTCAAGAAGAGGTGACCTTTAGCTCAAATCCAAAGGTAAGAAAAAACTGATGTCACAAACGAAAGCAGTGAGGCTGGAGGAATCCCTTCTTATTCACAAAGTGTCAGGTTTTTTGTTCTACTCAGCCTTTCAACTGATTGGGTTAGGCTCACCCACACTCAAAAGGGCAGTCTGCTTTACCAGTCTACTGACTCAGATATTAATCTCCCCACAAAACATCCTCCCAGTCATACTTAGAAAAATATTTGACCAAATATCTGAGTATCCTTTGGCCCAGTCAAGTTGACACATAAAATAAATCATCACACGATGTTAAAATGGTTTTGTCCAAATATTTTAATTTTTCAGCTATTTAATAGAGTTGAATGCAGGGTGAGAAGGCTGCATCCATAATGGAAGAGGGAGACCAGTCCCTGCTGTCTTCTTAAAATTTTGTGGATTTCCTTGGCCTTGAATATGTATATAATGATGGTATCACATCCCCAGTACCATATAACTATAAACACTTGTCCTTAAAAATATTATGCCATTATTAAATAACCCAATAATCTAGGAGCAGTTTTCTGCAATAGGAGTCTAGATATTCGTATATCACTCAATGTTGATGAACAGAGGTTCTGTTTTTGTAAGATTAGATAATACTCAGAACAGTCAGGAAAACACTCCTCAGCTATGCCATTGGTATACACATATTGCTGTAGGAAGGCTGTAAAGTACTGATCTATCATGAAGCCCTTCTCCTCCCTTCTCATGCTGTAAGCCATGGCAGGGGAGACTCAACGTTTATAAAAGGAATGGTTACTTTATATACTGGTTTAATAATTGTGGGAATAAAATGGTTTTTATTACTTTGGAATTTAAGAAAAAATTCAGAACTTCGGACATGAAGGAAAAGCATGGATAGGTTCAACATTTATTTTCTTTTTCTATCAAGGGTCCACCTATTCTCTCTATTATAAACAAAACCTTTACTCTGGATTGGAAAATTCTCTTTACTTTGGAGAGTTAGGTGCTTTCTTTTTACAGTCATAATCTAGTTACCCTAAAAAGAAAAATCGAGGAGGAACAGTATGGTAAGTATCATATTCTAGACAATTGCTTTTTGCTATTTATATGCGATTTCAGCTACAATTATTAGACAGGTCTCCTTTTTTGATGTAGCAGAGATGATTAGTAAAATTACTCAGGCTTCATGCTATACAGATTGAATTTCCTTAATCTGAAATGCTTGGGACCAGATATGTTTTGCATTTCATATTTTTTTCAGATTTTGGGAGAGAGAGAGAGAGAGAGATCTATACTGCAGTATCTTGGAGCTTGGAGATAGGAGCCAAGTCTAGATGAAAACTATTTATGTTTTATATTCACCTTATACATGTAATTTTATGCAATATTTTAAAATAATTTTATACCAGAAACAAAGTTTGTGTTAAGTACATATGTGTGGAATTTTCTACTTGTGTCATCGTGTCTGTGCTGAAATAGTTTCAGATTTTGGAGCATCTCTGATTTTGAATTTTCAAATTAGGAATGCTCGACCTGTATAATATGTTTAATTAAGTTTGTATTTAACTTCCAAGAACATGTCATTAGGTCTTCCACAAGGAAAACGTAATTACCTTTATAATTACTGTGCCTTAAAAGTTCAGTTTTTTTTTTTTGTTTTTTTTTTTTTGTCTTTGCTCCTAAGTTTGCTTAGAATTTTGGACATGGAGGAAAAGCATGGAAAGATTTAAGGCTAAATCTCATTCATAAAATGTTATCAAACAACATTTGGAAGGGAGGATATGAGTATGGAGGAAACAAGCATAGTCCAAAGCTATATCTTCTAACTCAACAGAGGCAAGCTGAGTATTACTTGCCTGGAGGTATTTTTTATTCACCATTTGGTGAAATAAGCTAGAAATCACTTGAAATGGCATTTAGGCAGTAACACTCAACATTTAAGTTGTGGGCTCAACATGTCAGTGTTCATAAAGTACAAACTTTCATTGTTTCATCCCAGCAGATTCATGTATGTAAGGTGTTACGATTTCTATTTTAATTTATTTTGGAGTTGGTCTTGTGATCTCTCTGTTGAGAGTGGCCACAAGCCAAGATAACCACTCTCTAGGAGAGACCTGACAAGAGGGGAAAGTTAGGTTTGTTGTGTGTGTCAGTCATATCAGACACAATGAGTAGGTGAAATAAAAATGCATGAAACAGAGGGTGGTGGAGAGCTCAATTAGTGGGTGAGGAGGGAGAGAGAAAACAAGAGGAAAAACCGTTGGGACTATGCTTTAATACAGGTCCATGGAAAATATCCCTTAGATTTCCCATCGGGGGTTGTGGATTCACTATTTAAAGAAAACACACATGGGAAGAGATCAAGTTATTTACATGACTGTGGTGTTGATTATTAAATTTTATCATGGCAGCAGCTGTGGGGTGTGTTCTGTTAACTAAAGAAAAGAAAACGAAGCAGTCAGAGAATTATAGTTAGTTTTATATTCAGAAGTCTTCTGATGACTATGGACCAAGGCCTGTAGCCTGGGAGCTGTTCTGTCAGACTGCTCTGGCAAAGGGCATAGGTATTTCAGCTCGCTGCTTATATATAGGTAGTGGGAGTTCAAAATCACACCAAATCTGCTCAGAAGTTACATTGAAGCAGAATCACATCAAGGTTCGGAAGAGTACATTATAGATTCTTACAACATACTGTAAGACACTTTGGTTATAGATTAGAGAAACATAATCATTAATGCCATCAGACATCATCTTATGTGAAGGAAAAGGCAAGCACTAGGGTTAGCTTTCAAAGGAATATAGTGATTCAAGGAAGGGATGTGGGGTGCCATGTGCTATATCCTATTTTGTCTTCAAGGCCTTCCTCCAGAGAGCTTCATTTCATCACAGAGTCAGGGATACAAGCTGAAATGAGCAAACATGGCTTCTTATATTTGCCGCTTTGTCTCACAGTTGGATTTTGTGTCAGTGGAATAAGTAAAGAGTGGCCTATATCATAACCACACAGGGAGAAGAAGTTTTAATTAGGCCAAAGGGATGCCACTGGGTCTCAAACAACATATGTCAGACCTAAAAATGAATGCAACAGCAGCAATTATATACATATTAAACAAATTCATGACAGAAAGCATTTCATACCTTACACTGTAGACAGGTAGGAACAGCCTGCAACAAGGGAGAAAACTGTAATTAATATTACTGTTTACGTGGTTAGACTAACAAAATTTCATATTGGGCACTAGGTCTGTGGAGCTTGACACTTTACTGCAGTTCATTCAGGGCATAGCGTGGTCTCTTCCAGCAGGATTCTGGCTTAATTTTGTATTTTTGTTTTTTAAAGATTCTTTATGATAAAGTTTATATCCACTTTAGAAATTATGGCATGGCTCCCCAGAGTTAACTCATTAGATTTTTTTCTATCCTTCCATAAAATCTTGAAACATTCAATAAATGCTTTGGAATAATCAAGGACAATAACATCTAATATACTGTGAACGTTTTGCAAGTGGCAGCCACTGAAATAGCAGAAGGTTCATAAGCCTACCCATTAAAATTTATCCAGAAAGGGTGAAACTAGCTCTTTGATTTGTAGATCTCATGTTGCTGAGAACTATGAACAAAGTATCTATCCCTATTATTTCAATGTCTGTACATTTACAGTCAATTTATTTTCAAAGTCTTGTTCTTATATTCTGCAGCTCCGGCTGAATTTCAGAGAATAAAATTATTGCTGAATCTGTTAGTGTTTGGCCTGTAAAGTTCCTGTTATTTTAAATGGAAAATATAATCCTAATCTGAGGATGAAGTGCTTTAAATATATTTTCCATATAGTAAATCTATCAGGTTTTGTGCCTACATGTTATTAAGCTATATATACATACTGATAGTAAAACATATCTCCAAATAATTTCAGATTTAATATTTTTAAATGATTAAGAAGGGTGATAAAAATTTTTGTTATTTTCTTATAAAATATAACTATATTTTGAACTAGACAAATAAAATAATTACAGTGCTGATGCACACTGGAAAAAAGTGAAATATGCCATTTACAGGTAATTATTTCCATCACCTCAATTATGAGTTAAAAGAGCAATGTGGGTGCCTTAGTGTGACCACCCAGGCATTTAAGATTGTCTTAATTGGCCGGGCGCGGTGGCTCACGCCTGTAATCCCAGCACTTTGGGAGGCCAAGGCGGGCGGATCACGAGGTCAGGAGATCGAGACCATCCCGGCTAAAACGGTGAAACCCCGTCTCTACTAAAAATACAAAAAATTAGCCGGGCGTAGTGGCGGGCGCCTGTAGTCCCAGCTACTTGGGAGGCTGAGGCAGGAGAATGGCGTGAACCCGGGAGGCGGAGCTTGCAGTGAGCCGAGATCCCGCCACTGCACTCCAGCCTGGGCGACAGAGCGAGACTCCGTCTCAAAAAAAAAAAAAAAAAAAAAGATTGTCTTAATTAATTTGGATAAGGAAATCACCATGACAGTTACCAGAAACTCTTGTCTGATTTGGTGGCCTGAGCCTGGAGTAGGACAATGTCAGGAAAATTTGCCAAAGGGAACTAGTTGGTGGATATTTATGAAAGCAAAGTTGCTCATAGAAAATAAAAATCAGCATTGCTTTAGCAATAATTCATTTTCTCATTTGGAATCATGTTATGATTTTTGATAAGTAACATGTTATAACAGCTACAGGAAAAAGTGAGTTAAAGCATGTAAAAAAGCATCAACAGAAAGACCATTGTAAATACTTTACTCGACTAGAGGTAAAAAAGCTACACTCCTTCTACAATCACCCAGTCATCTAAAGCCTAATGAACAATTCAACAATTATGGGCAAGTAATCTTTCCCTTAGGAGACAAAGAAAAATTTCCATAACTTAATGAATAATAAAAGTCTCAAGGCCAATATTTTTTAGAATGTCACTATTAAGAAACATCAAGATAAAATATGAGATAAAAATTTTTAAGAGGCCTTTATAAGAACTCAATTCAAAATTGTATAGTGTGACCAATACTTTTGGACAATCAGAAAGTTTTTGACCAAGATCATTGAATATGAAGAAGAAAAGTTGGTAGGAGTGATGTGAGGTTGTAGAGCTGTACATGATATGGGACATATCATGAACCCAGCATTGAAAGACATGTTTGAGTATTAGGAGAAATGCTGATGGTCTGTGTAGGGCAACTTTAGTTAGAGATAAATCTAGGCTATCGACAGAAACATGCTAATGCTGCTGGTTCCAGGAAAGAAGAACAATAAGAAATTGTAGAATAATAGTGAATTAACTGTGGACAAACACAGCTTAAATACAAACTTTCAGTCTACCTGGTTAGGCTTTCTCTCTCTCTCTCTCTCTCTCTCTCTCTCTCTTATTATTTCCCTTATGTTATCTGGTTTGTAAATATCCTTCTGAATTTTTTCGAATTACCTCATTTTATACATGCTACAGATGTTGTTTAGTATGAAATGGTCTTCATTATCAAATTCCAAAATCACACCTCTAGTCTCATATCACTTTTACATCAGTATTCAAGATAATGTACAATGTAATATACAAAGTATATTGCACCCTTGTCACATAAACTGCAATTCCGTAAGCATGTCTTCATTCCTCAGACTTGAACATGCTGTTTACTCAGAAATTCTCTCTCCACTCAACTTCCTTTTAGCTGAAATCTTCATCCTCAAGATTTCATTAAAATACTACCTCTTCTCAGTATTATTCTCTGACAACTCAGGGTGAAATCTGAGTTCTCTGTGTTTCCAAGTAGATACATTTCCTCACAGTAATAATAACTCAAGTAGATTGCACTTCTGGGATTTACTTTTTTTTTCTTTTTTCACTCAAGTACGAATTGCTTGAATGCAGAGACAATGTTTCACTTCCATAGCCTTGATGTCTATATTAGAGAGTCTGAAATTGATTCAAAAGCTGAGACTAGTACTCATAAAAATTTTCTTCAAAAACCAGGGATTAATCACCAGCCATGACATGTGCCCCAAATCCCCAAATCTCTGCTATAGAAAACCTCCAACAGTCTCTTCTTTCTGCAGATTTGGACTTTCTGTATCTTTGTTCTGCCTCTCTCAATGCAGAGTGAAAGGAAATGAGGCAGGATAAGTGAGATTTAAGTTAGGCTGTTTTGTCTCTCCAGTAGCCACCCTATTTATGTAAAAAAATACACTCAGATGTACTCTTCCTGTATAACAACTTCCTTTCAATTGTCATTTTCAAAGACTTTTGAGAGGCATGAAAGCTTAAATGCAGTTTGATCAGGCCAGTAGGGGAGATTTTTCTCTCCGTGGGATGTTTTCTTGCAAAGACCTTTTATCTGAGCCAGCCTCTTCTCATGCATTGTGTATTGTCCTGTCTCTTTGCACAGGGAGTAGAGCAGATTTGTCATACTCATGCTACCCAATATGCAGCAGCACATAAAAATTTAATTTTGCTACAGTATGTATACATTGTCCTACAGGGATGCAGATGCTAGGCTCAGCAGGAGAGATGCTGTGAGATGCAATACAGCAGGAATTCAACCTGCTGTAAGGAAGAGGTTAGAAACTACCTTAACATGAATCAAGGCCAAAAAGTTTCCTGTATTAGCTGGAAGACATTAGGACTTCGTCCCATCAATATAAAGAGAGTGATGCCAGTTCAGTACATAGATTTACTTCAAAAGTGGCCCATAATGAAAGACGACAAAACAAATAGTGGGATAATGGTGGATATCTTTAAACAGATTATGAGACATTTTGTATACGTCAGTATAGCTCCCACTGCATCATTGGTAAATAACTTAGCATTAACAGCTCTTAGTTCTTCAAGTACATCACAAGAATACTCGGAGTGAGCCACAAATACTAATTTGTCATCAAGCCAAGGCATTATAAAAATCCTTGTGTGTAAACTAATGCTCTATTTATCGGTTGCATTTCTTTTGCATACAAAGCCAAGTAATGACCAAAATTACAGAATGCTTTGAGTGTTCAGGAAGCTTTCTCAAATACTATACATGGAAACGTATATTGATACAATCTTTCTGAAAAGCAAACTGGCATTTTATAAAAATAATTGATAAAATATTCATTGTTTTTTACCAGATCATTTAAATTCTAAGAATATGCCCTCAGGAAATAAGTAGAATTATATTCAGATTTTAATGGATGATGATAATGCTCTTCCCAGATTTATGCATAATAAGAGAAAAGTATAGCTAATGTAAATGTTTAAAAGTAGAGAAATGTTTAAATAAATAATATCCAATTATATAAAATGACTATCAGGCAAATATATTATCTTTAAAGAATATTTAGAAACAGAAGAAAAGATAACAGTTGGGAAAATATATTTTACAGTGACATTTTAAAAATTAATATTTCCAATATGCATACTTATACATATAAGTAAGCACTAGTGTATATTTCACAAGAGTAGGTTAAGGGTTAGTTCAATTTTTTTACATTTCCCATGTTTTCCAAATTTCCATAATGGCCTCTATTACTGTTAGGACTAGAGAAGATGCAGTGACCTTTAGAACACTTCTACATAAAAACATCATGAAGTAGGTATAATACTTGTAAGATTGACTTCAAGTAGCAAGTAACTGGAAATATCAAAGACCGTCAACTTCAGAGTAAGTATTTAGAAAGGATAAACTCTGATTAATATTCTTAAGGGTTTGTCTTTTATAAGTAAAAACATGATAGTTTGGTTACATCTTGTTTTTTAAACATTTTTAACATGGTCATAAAAACTTGTTAAATTCCTTTTATTTTACTTTCTGCTGAACACAAATCTTAAACAGATGACACTATTCATTTGTTTAATTACATACTTTTCATGCATTGTTCTTTCAGTGAGGCAAGCAGTTCGGTTCAGGATACAAACACTATTACATGTGAATGGATCTTGGTCCTCCTGTAACATCCCAAAATAAATATTTGATTGATTCTGATTCCATTTCATATGTAAACATGCAGTTTGGGCAACACAGATTCTAAGAATGGCCCAGCACGATACCAGAAGAATTATGATTTGGTCATGTTTTTGTAGGGATAGAGTATGGCGGGTATAAAAATTAGTTTGAGTTAGGAACATTAAATCCAAAATTGGAGCCAAAAGTGAGGAAGAAACTGACACATTTTTGAGACATTAGAAATTTGATCACATAGGAAACCAGCTTTATTAGTTTGGATTCATTCCTGGAATGACATTTTTCAATGTCTTACATAGCAGTATGAAATCTATTATAATCACTTCAAGGTAGAGACTGAGAAGCAGAAAGCATGTGATAAAATACACATATATGTGTGTGTGTACACACACATTCTAAACTATAATTGTATTATTCTGAATAACAACATTATTCTGAATAGCATGTATTGTTCTGGGCTGTATTATTCCTAATAATATTGTTTTATTCTGGATCATAATATTGGATTATTCTGAATAATGTATAATTCTGTATAACATGGATAATAATTATTATATTATTCTGAATAACATCTACATACATTTAAATTTTTATTATCAGAAAAACATACTGGCTATAGTTGATAATAACCATGCTTTCCTTGTATGCAGTAGTATAAAGTGAACATTTGTGCTCATAATTCTTTTTAATTAGGTAAAAACAAATAGTGCAGGATGAAAATTCATCAACATAGAGTTGGTTACTAAATACAAGTGTTTTTTTTAAAGGTGTGTATACATGTTTGTGTGTGTGTAAGACAATTGAGGGATATAACCCTCTACGGCCAATTATTTAGTAAAATTGCCAGCGTTGGAGACTGCAGAGGAAGTTGAATCAAAATCTCCACTGGAAAAGATAATTCAATTTGAAAATGCAAAAATCATGTAAGATCATTTTGATCTATGATATACACATATATTCTCTTGCTCCTGGAAAATGTTTTAATTAGGAAATATAAATCTCTAAAAAAGGACATTTTTTTCTTAGACTGACATTTAAAATATAGATGTATTTAAATACATACACAAATATAAAATGATAAAATAATATTAAAATTAATAAATTTATATTTAATATAAATGTAAAGGTAGGTGCTTAGTTTTCTTTATGTATTTTCATTCTGATTATATATGGTACATACATGTATATATAACATATATACATTTGTATTTCTCTCTATATAATATATCTGACATAGGATTTTTTGGTGCCACTTCGACAGCTGGAAACTTCTGTGGCTGGTGGAGCCTCTTTTCGTTTGTTTCTGTTGCCCTGGACTGGCATGGCTGCCTGGCACTGGCGGATGACAAAGGGCTACAGTGTTACAGTTTTTTTCATACCCTCATTTGGAGGGTCCCAGGTTCTTGTCCCACATCCAAGAAAAATGAAGTTATGCAGAAAACCAAAGAGTGATCGAGGTGGAGAAGAAGTTTATTGAGTGACAGAAGAGCTCTTGACAATGAGAGGAGACCTGAAAGCAAATAGCTCAACATGTGACTGAGTCTGGGGGTTTTTATGGGCTGAGAACAGGTGAGTGCATGCTGATTGGTTTGTGAGTATGCAAAAAAAGCTAAAAAAAATGCACCACTCAAAGATAGACACAACAGTGCAAAAAACCAATTAGGGACAGGTAGGTATGTGTAGAATAGGTGAAGGGTAGGAATCAATCTGAGGAAAGTGCTCCAAACTGGAAGAGAGCTTCTCAATCCAGTCAATGGATTTATCTGAGATTTGTAGCTTGGTTTTCAGGCTTAACACTGTCTTTGGCTTGAAGGTCAGGTATCACCAAAGAACAGCCCTTGTCTGCCCAGAATTTGTCTGCCTCCTGCTGCTATCATATCCACATATATTCATACAGACACACAGACACACAGAAAATGAGAGAGAAAGGCAGTAAGTTAGAAGATAGAGATTGAGAGACAAAGGTACAGAAAAACCCCGAAAAGGATGTTTCTCTGTATGGATGGATTTTCCCTATGAAGAAAGGATCTTCATATTTATATAATTATATTCATGCATTTACTTATTCATTCATTGTTAGCTTATTATTAATTTTATGGTATGTGATGATTTAGACTTTTGGAATATAATGATGAATAAAATTTTATTTCTATGATCAATACATGAGTTATAGTTTGGAAAATCAATGTGCAAATTAAATGTCAAAAACTGACTGATGCTTAAATTTTCCAAATAAGCAAAATAGGTCATATTGTAAGTATTATTTACTTACATAATATATCATATACACATGTATGTGGAAATGGATCTAAAATTTACCATAACTTTTTTTCTATTTTGTAAACTCAGATTATCATATTTTTCTTAAATGTATCTGCAATTAGGACTCCCGTATATATTTGTGGCCAAGTGTAGAGATTAATTCTCACTTTAGTTTGTTAAAGTTAATGTTAGAACTATTAGAAAGCTAACCCAAGACAGAAATTCTCTCTGTAAACAATTGAATAGATTACAGCATGATATGCTGAGTAGCGCTAATTATCAATTCATCACTTCTTACCTCCAAATCCAAGTTACACTGGCAGTTCTGCAAAAGTGGGGGTAGGCCTCTAAATATACATACATAGATGCACGCACATATGTATTTGCCATATGGCTAGATATTAACCTTTGTCAAAAAACGATGATGTAACGACACTGCTGGACCTTCTCTCCAGGTTCTAGTGTGCTCCCCTTGGCACCAGGGGGGTTTTCTGGTGCCTTCAGTGAAATGCATGCCTTGTCCAGTGCTCCACACTGGCAGCATATGTGGCTTTCTTGTGTTCTTGCAGAACAGGCAATTTCTCCAGGACCTGTATCCTTTCTCTAGGTCTGGGATCCCACAATGCAAGCAACTGTGCCATCATCCAAATTCTTCAGTACACAGTTTACAGAACTCAGAGGCCAGCAGATTCCTCTGGCACTCTTTCTTGGGTAGTTTTGGAGTAAAGTGGTTTGGAGTAAAGTGCCACCAGTGAGATATGCTCCCATGAGTAGCTTTTTCTGGCACCCTGGAGAGCAGATTTCCTGCCAGTTCTGCCATCAGAGAACTACAGACACCTTTGTGATATTCAGTAGCCATGGCCATGTCCTCCTCTACAAAGGCTGGGTCTAAGTCCTGGAGAAGGAGCAAGTTTGCCTCGCATGTTCCAGCCCAGTCCAGAAAGTAGTGGCTGTACTTTCTCTCTGTGCTCTTATGTTCTTTGCAGTTCTCTTTACTACTCTCTACGCCTTACTAAGCAATATCCCCTTATTCCAACCACCTGTTACAGTTAATCATTCTTTATATTAAACTTTCCTTGTTCAAATTACTATGTGGTTTCTTATATATAATAGATATATTATTGAATAATTAGATAGAATATAATAACCAGACTAAAAATGATGATGTGGTTAAGTTCTGTTTACTGATGTTATTTTACATCTTTATACTAGACAAGTCATAAAACATGGAACCTGAGAAAGTTACAATCACTTCAGCACCTACATATATTTTTTAAAAACAAGATTGTTGACTTAATAAGCCCTGTCGATGGTGGTCAGAATGGCGACCATCTCCAAACCAAAATATATAGTTACGCAATTCAGGATGTTTCTCTGGAAAATTTAGAAAGAGGCATCTATCTTCAAATATTTGAAGCTTTATTATATGTCTGAAAAATAAGATTTGCTGTAGAATTCCACGAAGGGAGCAGTGGGTAGTACTTACAGAAAGACAATTGTTGCCATAATAATAAGGAAGAACTTCTAATAATTGGCTGGGTTAAAATGAAGTAATACTTTCTCTGTCACTAGGAATGTTTAACTCAAGGTTCTTGCTCCTTTTAGATATTATTGAAGCACAATTTATATTATAAAATATATAACATTATAATTTTCAACTATAAAAATCATGAATCTATACATCTCTTGTCATAATGTGATTGATAATTATATCATGTAATTTGTGGTTTGTGAAAGATTTTAGCTGTATCTTTGAGTTTGTATATAATTCACAATTTTGGTTGACATTTATATATTTCTTCCGATCACTTTAGGTTATGCAGGTCAGTGAAAAGTGCATTTATTCAAATGTAGTTTTGTAACTGAAGTTACTTTACTTGAAATAGACTTTCAATAGTAACAACAACAAAATCAGAACAAAAGGCTCATTTAGGATTTATATAATAGGATGTTATAGTACGATGACAAAGCTTCTTTTTCTGAATATTACAGTCTTTGTGTAATCTCATATAAAATTATTTTTCTTTACTCTACATTTTTCTGTTATCGTCTTCGGGAAAATGGGCACTGATAGAGCTCATGAGACATGTAACCTACTGCCTAAAGTATAAGCTAACAATTCAAGCAAAATAGTGTTTGACTCTAAATTTTAGAAGTAATTTAAGGATACTGAATAAAATGAACTAAGTTGGCATCTGTCCCAGGAACTGGAGTGACATGAAAGCTTCATTGAACACAATCAGTTGGGAATCTGATTTCACTTTTCATCCTTGCCACTTATGCCATTTTAATCATTGTATCATCCTTGGGTATTGGTGCATTTCTGACCTTTATGAAAATGCACCATCTTATAGTTCACCAGTACTATGGTGTACTTCCCTTAAGTGTTCTTTAAATCTATTTCCTTTTTTATTTTTAAATTAAAAAATTTAGTACTTTCCCATGTGTATATCTATTTCAACTAAGGCATCTGTACTAAACTAAGCAGGTAGAGATGTTTGACATTGCTTGTCAAGTTTTTCCAAATCAATGACCAACTTAGTAATTCACGGCCCACAAAATATTTCTAAACTGTATTGCATGCACCCATGTATATATTTACTTACCCATAGAAATAGTCAATCAATCTTTACTTAAAGACTGTTACATGTTAAGAATTTTGTTAAGTACTGGTTATACAATTTAGTTAAGTACTGGTTTTATACATACACAAAATTATGTTTGTCTTTTTCTTGAATACAAAGTCCCATCTAGTTTGGCTAATTGTTGTAGAGGCTGAATTATAGAAAAACAGTGGTAGAAGTATTATGTTTAATTTGCTATGAAATAGAGAGAAAAGGTAAATATGGCCAGTGTCAGAAGGCCAGGGTGTCATTTAAACAGACTTTAAGTAGACTATTTGGAGAAGGTATAAGACAGAGGGAACCTTATGGATAAAATGTTGTGCAAGCAAAAAATATGGCTACATTTAGCCTGCTATGGTTGGAACCTGAGGTAGAGGTGAGAAAGGGAGATGAGATAAATCTAGGTATGTAGATAGATGTTAAGAAGTGAAACACCATCAATTCTGGACCAGACCTGATACTGAATTTTTTCATGTCTTTATACAGGGAGAAACCAATATTCTATTTTATGTTAAAAACAAACAAAAAAGCAAACCCTTGAAATCTTCAACTCCTTTCCATATCCTTTCCTTTACTTTCACATATGTCATAGTCATAGATGGAAACAAATAGCCCACCCAAATTGAATAATTTGAAAAGCACCCAATAGAGAAATAATGTATGTAAAAGTGCAAGGGATGGATAGAGGCAGCCCATATAAAAAGTGTTGCACTCCAAGACAAATGAGATGTAGAGATACGCATGGCAGGGGCCTTAAGGTGAGGGGAAGAGTCAGGCCGAAGGATGAAGATGGGGAATGCATAGCCCAACTCACCCTACATCCTACCACATACCTATTAACAGTGCTACCCTTCTACTCACTAGCTAAATTGTTGTGGTCTGAATGTCTGTGTCGTACCAAAAGTTAAAAGTTGAAAGCTAAAACCCAAGGTGTTGGTATTAGGACACTGGACCACTGGGAGAAGAATAAGTTATGAGAGTAAAGCCTTTGTGAATGGGATGAGTGCCTCTATCAAAGAGATGGCAGGGAACTAGCTAGCCCCCTCTGCCTTGTGAGATGACAGTGAAGACTGATGTCTAGGAAGTGGGCCTTCATCAGACATTGAACCTGCCAGTGCCTTGTCTTGGTGTTCCCACCCTTGAGAATTGGGAGTAATAAGTTACTGTTGTTTATAAGCTGCCCAATTTATGGTAGTTTGTTATAGCAGCCTCAATGAACTGGGACACAAGCTCAACAGGAAACCAACGGACAAAGGGTCTAATGACCATAATCGTTCACTTCCAGTGCTTAAAACCTGCTGGAAGATGGTCAAGACTGATCCAGAGGGGCAAGCAGAAGATATGCAGTGCCTTGTCCTACAAAACATCCAAACCCACAAGAACTTTTAAATTTGTCCCATAAATGTATCTGTTATCTTTGCAAACATACATGTGCATAGTTATTTGAATTTTATTCTATACAAAAGGGGTTCACTAAAGGTCTTCTACAAAGAAAACCACATCATCTGATTTATATTTTAAAATCAGCATTTATAATCGCTATAATGTAGAGAGTGGTTTGAGAGGCAAATCTACTTGCAGTCAATAGTCCAAGGAAATGAAGTACATCATGTCAAGAGCATTGAAAATAGGCAGTAAAAAGCATATAGAAGATTATCAAGAACTAGGTGAAAGAGGGTTTACTAAACAGTTGTCTGGCCAGGCACGGTGGCTCATGCCTGTAATCCCAACAATTTGGGTGGCTGAGGTGGGCGGATCATTTGAGCTCAGGAGTTTGAGACCAGCCTGGCCAACGTGGTGAAACACCATCTCTACTAAAAATACAAAAATTAGCCGAGCGTGGTGGTGGGCGCCTGTAGGTTCAGCTACTTGGGTGACTGAGGCACAAGACTCACTTGAACTTGGAAGGCTGAGGTTGCAGTGAGCTGGGATCACGCCGCTGTACTCCAGCCTGGGCGAAAGAGTGAGACCCTGTTTCAAAAAAGAAAACAAAACAAAACAAAACAGAGAAACAAACAAACAAAAACAGTTTGTGTCCATGTCTGAATGAGAGTGTCTGTGTGAAGGATCACAGTGTTAGTAAAGTATGAAATTGAAACTGATTTCAAGAATTTAGCTTGGAGTTATTCTCATGACATTGACTTAAATACAAGGAAATAAGGGGTTCTTGGGGAGTTGAAAGTTAATTTAGTTGGGATGTTGAATTTGAGATGGCTGTGACATGTACAGATGGTGATTAGTGATAAGTAGTCAGAAATATGTTTCTAAAGCTCAAAATCAGAGTTTGAACTAGGATATAAATTGCAGTTGAAACTATAAAAATGAATAAGATTGCCCAGGGAGATCTATTGCAAAGAAAAAGGGTCATACTTGTAACATTCACATTTCCAAATATACTAGATATAAGAAAAAGAAATAAAAGATCTAGTGATTTAAAAGACAGAAATATAAAATTTTATTATTCACAACTGAAAAATTTCTGCTTTAGAATGCCTAAAGCAGAGAATTCTAAAATTGCTATAGGAAAAATAAAACTCTAACAGATCCAAGTAATTTTATAAGTAAATTTAGAAATGTTATAGAATCAAAATCAATTATATATCTATATGCTAGCAATAAAAATTTGGAAAATAAGATGTAAAGGATACCACTTAAGATAGCATTCAAATACGTAAGGCATTTGAGATTATATTTAGTGAAAGTTTTTTCAAGATTTTAAGTAAAATTTTTAAAAATATGACTGAGATAAAATTTTTAAAAGTCCCCAAATAACTGAGAGATATACAACATTCATGAATTAAAAGACTCAAAAGAGTTACATGTTCCCCCAAATGCTCTATCAATTCAGTATAATTCCAAACAAAATCTCAAATTTTTTCTTATAGTTAATAGTGAACTAATTCTAACATTTATTTAGAAACACAAAAGCTCTATTATAACCAAAACAATCTTGAAAAAGTAAAACAAAATAGAAACTTCCTCTTTCTGACTTCAAGTTTTACTATTAAGTTACAGTAAATAGGACAGTATTTTGTGAGCATAAAGATAGACAGATCAATGGAAAAGAATAGATAGTTCAAAAATAGGTTTGCACACATGTGATGATTTGTTTCAAGGATATTAAAATAATCCAATGTGTGAAGAAAACTATCTTCAACAAGTGTTGTTGGAATAAATGAATATCTGTATGCAAAACAAAACAAATCAAAACTTTGATCCCTAACTTACACAATACACAAATTGATTCTAGATGGATGATTTTGAATTCAAGACTTAACATTCAACATGTAAACATTAAAGCTAAATGCCAAAAAAAAAAAAAAAAAAAAAAAAAAAAACCACAAAAAACTGTCAACCTTCTGGAAGAAAACATAGAATATATTTGTGACTTAGGCAGGCAGTTTGTCTTTTTCCATAAAGAAATAGTTATTTCTACATCATCATTTAAACTTGAACTGATATTTTACAAAAGGAAATAAAATGTAAATGGCTAATAAACACATGAAAAGGTTTTCATCATTAGTCTTTAAGGAGGCATTACTTAAAAGTGCAATGAAATAGCATCCTTTAGAATACTAAAGAAAAAAAGAACCATTCAACATGGTCAATGATGTGGAGCCACTAGAAATCTCAGACACACTGTGGTAGAATGTAAAATGGCACAACTATTTTGAAAAAATAAAGTGTCAATATTTTTTTGGACAAAGTTAAACAAAGATCCATTCTATGACAAGCAATTTCATTCCTATGTACTTACCTAAAATAAGTGAAAACATGTGCTTATAAAAAGCATTGTGCTATAATATTTATGGTAATTTTATTCATAATTGTCCTAACCTGGTAAGAATTCAGATATCTATTGACAGGAGAATGGGTAAGCACCTATTGTAGTGTAGACCCATTCATGGAATAATATTCTACAATTCAAATACCAAACTACCAACACTCTGCAACAACAAAGACGTAGCTCATAGTCACTTGAGTGAGAGAAGTCAGACAAAAAATGGAATACTTTCTAGAAGGCAACACAAAGAAACTTTCTGAGGTGATAAAAATTATTTTGATACAGGTATGAGTTATAAAAATGTACACATTTGCCAAGTTTATCTAACTATACACTAAATATTTACCCATCACATTGTATGAAAACTACATTTCAAATATAAAATTAAATGAACATTTCATTGCTTATTTGGCATTTTTTGCACTAAACAATAAAAAGCTAAAAAAATGCTTCTTGTATCTTGTGGCTGGCTTACCATTCTGTAGAAAGAAATAATACTCTCATTGCAAAGCAATATATTTTTACTACGAAAAATTATGGTATAGGAACTTAGGATATATTCAGTGCCTAACAGTCATTACTTACGTATGTGCTTGGTATTATTGTTTGACATAACAAGTCAAATATAATTGATCAAAGAAAGAAACAAAATGAGTCTGATCAGCTCTAAAATATTCCCTCACATTTGTATTAAATACTAAAAAAAACGGTCTGGGTGTGGTGACTTATACATGTAACCCCAGCATTTTGGGAGGCTGAGGGAGGCAGATCTCCTGAGCCCAGGAGTTTGAGACCAGCCCGGGCAACATGGCAAAATCCCGTCTTTACAAAAACATGCAAAAATTAGCCAGGTGTGTTGGTGCGCAGCTACAGTCCCAGCTACCTGGGAGGTGGAGCTGGGAGGATTGCTTGAGTCTGGGAGGTTGAGGCTGCAGTGAGCAGAGATCGTGCCACTGCACTCCAGCCTGGGTGATAGAACAAAACCTTGTCTCAAAAAAAAAAAAAAAAAAAAAAAAAAGCCAAAGTTGGTAAATATGCTATATATCAACGTGTTTTCAAAATGTCATTAGAATATTGGTTGCTGTCATTATAATCATACTTTCTTTTCAAAGAGAAATCTGGGTTTCAAATTCAAAACATGACATAGAAGATGCAAGAACTTAAAAATTTTTAAATAGTTTATTAAAAGAAACTTGAATATTCTGATGACTATTTTGTGGTAGATGTCAAGGAAGTAAAAAAGTATAGTTAACATTCATATAATTTATTTTCTCCATAAACAAACAATAAATAGCTTTATCATGGCGTTGCCATTATTGTTTTGAGGTGAGGTGTAGTGTTAATCATTGATTGGCTCGATCTTTGTGAACAATATACATTCTTCTAACCTGTTTTTCTTTTTTGTAACTATACAGTACTGTAATAATGCATGCCAAGAATAATTACCTATTTGTTAAATATCATTATATCTAGAAGTCAAGGACTTTGAGAGGGCAATATTAGCACTGGTAGGCAGACTTCAATTACACAAGATAAAGAAGATATTTAGGTTACATTTTCAGGATGTATTTGTAGTGTCAGTAAAATGAAGAACCAGAGTTGGGTTTGACTTGTATTTCCTCTGCAAATATTGTTTCTAATTGAGAGATAACAGAAAGATAAAAGGATTTATCAGTAGTGGTGATGGTAAATTTTACTTGTCAACTTGACTGGACCACAGGGTATCTGGATATGGTCAAACATTACTTTAGGTGTGTCTGTGAGGAAGTTTTTGGATGATATTAACATTTAAATCTGAAGACAGAGTAGAACATTGACTTTCCAGCATGAGTAGCCCTTGTCCAATCAGCTGAAACCTTGACAAGAACAAAAATGTTGGTCTTCCCATAAAAAAGAAGGAACTCCTTCACTCTGACTGCTTTGAGCTGCGACACCTGACCTTCAGACTTGAACTGAAGTACTGGCTTTTCTCGTGTTTTGAGGCTGCTGACTTTAGACTAAAACTACATTGTGAGTCCTCTTGGCACTCAGGCCTTCCTCCTGGGTCTCCAACTTGCTGACTGCAAATCCTGGGACTTCTCAGCCTCCAAAATCGTGTGATCAAATTTCTAATAATAAATCTATTTCTACATACGTATATGCATCCTATTGGTTCTGTTTCTCTAGAGAACCCCAAGTAATACATCAGTAATATTTTGAAACAGCAAAATCCTGTACTAGAGATGAAAGAGGAAGCCTGTCTACTTCTTAACAGCAAATTCAAACACTATTGTTCCTGGTACTTCCCACCTTAAAACAGATTCATAGATAAGAATGGGATCTATTTCTCTTCTCTACCCAAGTCTCAAGAAGGATGATGATGGAGGTAAAAAACAGAAGTGAGGGAGAAACTTAAATAGTTATTCACACAGAAGGGATAAATGTTAACCGAAACATCCCTAGTGTTCCTTAGAATAATTTGAAAGTTTGTTCAGACATATGTTGACTCATTGCAGCAGTCCTTCCTTCAGAGTTAGTGTTTATGAAAGTTATTTAATGAGGGTGACCTTGGCTTTTATTTAGTTATTTTGAAATAGACAAGTATGTCCAAGTTATAGAAAATAATGTAACAATTATAATCACGGTACCCGGATTAAAAAATAAAGTTAAAGTCAAATTCCCCAGTGTTTCTGTATCTCTCCTTATCCACATTATCCCTCTCTTCCCACTTATCTGAAATTTGGTATGCATCAGTCCCATAGGTGTTTTCAAAAGTTATTACATATTTATCACAAAACAACACAGACTATGGTTTTGGTTGTTCTTAATCCTTGAAATGAGTTTTATTATATTGCTCATATGCTTTTGTAACTTTCTATTTTTCACTCAATACAACGTCAGCGAAATCCTTCCATGTTGACACATGCTGCTTCGGTGCACTCATTTTCTCCATCTTAATTTTGTCTAACAGTTGATAGGGATAAGACGGTGAACTTCCATTTTGATCATTTTGCCTTTTTTCTTTTCTCTTTTAGCAAAATTGAAAGTACCCTGATGAGTATTTCAGGCAGTTTCTGGGTGAGAGAACTGACTTTGGCAGGAGTTTGTATGCCACAGTTGTTTTCCCCTTTCAGAGCTGAGCTGAAGTGTTAATTACTTATTCCAACTGGCAGTCTTGCAAAAATTTCTTTGAAAGCAAGGGCTGAAATTGTGGAGATAGTAGCTGTGAAATAAGAGCATAGCAACCTGCATTTATACCAAACAAGGTAACAGAAACAGACTGAAGCAGTGTCCCTAAAACTGACCCAAAGTCTTAAACAGAACAAAAGAAAATATATACAGACGCAAACATGATTGACAGTGGTATAGATGACATATGCTTCTGTCATTCTTCCATTTAATCCAAATAGAGGGATGATACTCTTTTCTCAGCTCACAGAATGTTGCAGGTTTTTAGAGACAGAACCAAAGAAGTCTGCGTCAAGAATTCTCTGGCCTCCATCTGTATGCCCAAATAGTGTAAGATTTCTGTGCATAAATGGACTGATTATAATAATAATAATAGCATTATTTGAGTGCTTATTCTGAGCCCAGCAACATTGTAAAAACTAACATATAACCAATTTAATTTTCATAATAGTCCTATGAAATAAAAACTATTATTTTTTCCAATTTATAAGTGAGGAACTTGAGCACAAAAAGATAAACTAGTCAGCTCAAGAATGAAAATCTTTAAAAAAAAAAAGCCAAAATTAAAATCCATGCTCAATAATGTGCTCATTTTTTTCAGATACTATTGACTGATGCATTACTACTTACCATTTCCGTTAATCCTTTAGGACGAATTTTATACAGTAGACATAATCTCATTTAGAACCCCTTCCAACCTGTTCAAATATAGGTCCCTTAGATGTTCTGAAGACTGAGACAGTTTTTCCAGATACCCCCCGATTAAGTAAAAAGAGCTTGAGCTTGATTGGACATGACTTTGTTGTAAATATACAACTATCATTTACTAAGACTGACCATCAATTTTCTCATTTTTAGAATGGAACAATAAGAGTACTTCATACATTGCTGTGATAACTAAGTTTATATATACAAAGTTGTATTGGGTGAGATCCACAATTGAGAACACAATGTGTGAAGGACCCAGTGTTGTGAGTTTGGGAAACTATCAGCTATTAGAGCTAGCTAAAGTCCCAAAGATAATCTTGGAGCATCACCTCAACAGAAACAACCCTGCCACCACCTCTGTCATCACCTGAATGAAAACAAGTGTACAAAGGATGGCGATCATTAAAAAGTCAGGAAAAAACAGATACTGGAGAAGATGTGGAGAAATAGGAACGTTTTTACACTGTGGGTGGGAGTGTAAATTAGTTCAACCATTGTGGAAGACAATGTGGCGATTCCTCAAGGATCTAGAACCAGAAATACCATTTGACCCAGCAATCCCATTACTAGGTATATACCCAAAGGATTATAAATCATTCTACTATAAAGACTTATGTGCATGTATATTTATTTCAGCACTATTCACAATAGCAAAGACATGGAGCCAACCCAAATGCTCATCAATGATAGACTGGATAAAGAAAATGTGGCACATATACACCATGGAATACTATGCAGCCATAAAAAAGGATGAATTCATGTCCTTTGCAGGGACATGGATGAAGCTGGAAACCATCATTCTCAGCAAACTAACACAGGAACAGAAAGCAAACACCACAGGTTCTCACTCATAAGTGAGAGTTGAACAATGAGAACACATGGTGGACACAGGGAGGGGAACATCACACATTGGGGCCTGTCAGGGGGTGGGGGGGTCTAGAGGAGGGATAGCATTAGGAGAAATTTTAAAAAAATCATAAAGGGCTAGGGACAGCCTTTGGGTGGGGCACAGTTGATAAAAAGAAGCAATTCCCTCACATTTCCTACTATAAGGGGTCAAAATATCAAGAGAAGATATCATGAAGTCTGTAACAGACTGCACAAGGAGTCAGATCTTTACTCCCTGGTTGAATGTTTGCTTATTTACCAAATAAGCTTCCAGATATGAACAAAAATGTGGAGAAGACTTGGCAGGCAGGTGGCCAGGAGAAAGGAGAGCAAGAGCACCTACCACCAAACCCCAATCACGAAAAGTCACAAATAATCGATCCATCTCTCCTCCACAGGATTCAGGGTTGTAGGTCATAAAGGGGAGTAACTATAGGTTTATGGGTGACAAAACAAGCAGAGAGCTAAAACACAGGTGTCTCTGAATTTGCCACTTAATTTGACGTGGCACTTCCCACTGGAGTGGTCAGACATTTGTTTAAACTGTCGATGAGCCAGTAATACCTGGTTAGAAGAGTAAGGATTCAGCTTTTATTATCAGGGCTCTCTTATGATCATCAGTCCACCAACAGTTCACTGAAGCCATACAGAATGAAGCCATAGAAGAGTCATTATGAGTCAACAAGGAGCAGACCTCAGATTTATTACAGAGAGCCAAAGAAGGAGATGATGTTTGTTTTCGCTCAAGAGCTTCCCTTCCACAATCTGAATGGGAACCACAGGGAGAAAGGAGGGCATGAGAAGGAGCAGATTTTGACTCCCATCATGCTCCAGGCTGCTCTCCCTCTGTTTAGTTTGCACTGGTGGGTTGTGGGGAATTGATGCTGAGAAAGGAAAGCTTTGAAAAAAATGAAAATTTGAAATATGAAACAAAATGACAATTTTGTAAGATCTAAAAGTATCTGTTTCAATAATCTTAACTACCTGAAATGTATAGAACTAAACTGAGATGCCATTAAGGAACTCAGCTACCCAGTGGTAAAGCTGGTAAAGCTGGGAGGATTGATGGAACATTGCTAGTAGCCATTACTGGAGAAGTAACAACGTAAGTGAATCTTCAAACACCTGCAAGTTAAAATTGCATACTTAATCAGTATGCCAGTTATTAAGCTATTGACTTTCACTCTTAACTTGGCTTGCTTTTTTATTTTTTTTTATTTTTTTTGAGATGGAGTCTTGCTCTATCACCCACGCTGGAGTGCAGTGGCGCGATCTCAGCTCACTGCAAGCTCCGCCTCCCGGGTTCACGTGATTCTCCTGCCTCAGCTTCCCGAGAAGCTGGGACTACAGGCGTCCGCCATCATGCCCGGCTAATTTTTATATTTTTAGTAGAGATAGGGTTTCACCAGGTTGGCAAGGCTGGTTTCAAACTCCTGACACCAAGTGATCCGCCTCGGTCCCCCAAAGTGCTTGGATTATTGGCATGAGCCACCGCGCCTGGCCTGAACTTGGCTTTCTAAACTCCGTTTTGTGTTTCTGGTATTTGGACTATGGAAACTTCAGTTTCTCATTTGACAGCTGGTTCCTTGCGATGTTCTACCGACAGGGAGACATAGAAAGAGATGGAAAGATGAAAAAGAAAAGACATGCCCTGTTTGTTTGTTATGCTTGTCAACATTGCCTCTGCAATATCCCTTCAACTTTTTACTAATTCCGATTCTAGCTTTTTTCGTATTCTCGGCACCAGCTGGACAATGCCATCGCCATCCCCCCAGAGGTAAGAGCCACAGATCCATGGGATACCTCCCAGTTTCTAGTTTCTAATAATCTTAAATTATTCCAGCTTTAGGGGTGATATTTGGTTCTTAAACTTGCTATGACTGTGTTAACCTGTGTTCATTTTTCTTTTCCAGTTCTCCAACACTAGTTTAACCTTTTTACATTAATAGTTCTCTTAAAATATCTGATGTTTCTTTTGCTTTCTTGATTGGACCCTGATTGATAAAATCAGGTAAAATAGCTACAGGCTTGATAGATAGTAGGTACTCAGTAAATATCGGTTCTTGTTCCCTGGTTGGAGGTGAAAATAAAAGTTGGAATTCTACTATGCCTTTTTCTCCCTAACTTGTCAACTAAGAGGAACATTGTCCTAAAATAAAGCCATGCGGACTTTTACTCCTTAAATAATTTTGATATGATAGTGGATGTATGTATTCTCTATAGATAATACATATTATCTGTCACATTATACACACCACTGTATATGTATGTATCAATGGGTGCACCCAGACACGTGTATGTTAACTATATAAGTGTATGTATATGGGCAAGAACAAAGAAAATAAGGGAGCATTACTTTTAATAATGGTAAAATATTTTTTCTTAATATTTTTATAGTGTGTGTGCTTAGACAAACGGTGTTAAAAAGTCATTTTTATATTATATAATAATATAAATTATTATTTTTATATTATTAAGTAATATATTTATCATTTTATTTTATTAACATTTATTATATTATTTAATAATCAGAGATTTCATAGTTCCTGCATTTTAAAATCTTATTTCTAGTGACAATAGCAATGTACATTTCTATGACTTAAGAATCACTACATAGGTCATTCAGTAACCACCTTAATGTTTCCTCAAGACATAGGAAAATATAAGGAATGTGCTTTAGAATCATGCCTCTGAACTTGGTACCTGTCTTCTGTCAGATTTCATGGCCCACTGTTGTGCCATTGAAGAGCTTGGCTACATCTACGTAAAATCTTCCTGATTTAGGGATGTGAATTTCCTGATATTATATTTTTATGTTCAACCATTTTAATTTGATTTTTTTCCTGTCTGAATTTCTTTTTCTGTTTCACCTTATCATAATTGTTCTTTTTATTCTGATGATTTCAGCTTCCTTGATGAATAGCTCAGACATCTCCTGAGAATGATATGAACTCCAGTTATTTAACAAAGTTGAAATTTCATTGTGTAACAGAGAGACAGATGCTGCTTATATTGCCCCAATGAATCTGAAATATATAATCTCTGAGCATTTTAGGTTTTGGTACCTGGAACCCCTGGGTAACAATTAGTTTCTAACAATGTACTTCCATCTTCTTATAGCAATCTCTGATCACTCATAATTTCTATCTATTCTCATAGAACAACACATAAAAGTGAAATAGACCTGCTTTTCACCACCTGTAACCTCTAAAGGAGCAAATTTTTGACTTTCTTTTGTCCTGAGTCTTCTTATAACAGCAATAAATATTCACTTAACTTGTTGCAGAGGGTTATGTGGTGGCGGGGTAGGGGGGTGGCAGTAGGAGAAATGTCAGTGGTGTCAATGGATAAAACAAGAAAAAAACAACAAAACAATAAAGAGAGGAGAAAGAAACTTGGAAGCCAAAGATCATTTGTTATCATATAAAAATGTATATGCATCTCTGAAAGAGGTCCACATACACAAATATATGTAAATGTGTGTGTGCAAAATATAAAATATTTTTTTCATTTATTTTCTATGTGCTTTAGCACAACTAATATGGATCAAATACTAAAATCTACTATCTGACATTTGTGGAAATATGTTAGCATGTTTTACTATTTTCTCTCAGGGGTACATTGTGAGGTATGTGAAAGCAAGTCCTAGGGCCTACTGGGTAGTAATTATATACATATATATATAGAGAGAGAGAGAGAGTAAAGTATATGTAGTAAATACATATATTATGATTGAATAAACCTACAGGTTGCCTGTTGACTATTAATTCATTCATTTATTTGTCATATATATTTTAAGTACCTAATTTTTGCAAGGCATTGTAAATAGAGCAGGAAATGAATCCAACAATAACAAAAACGCCAACCAAAACTCACTGCCTTCATGATGCTTATATTCTAATTGGATTATATGGACACTATCAAATATATAATTGAAATATGTAGTGTATCAGATAGTAATGAATGTCACTGAGAAGAACAAGGCAAGTAAGGTGCATAGGGTGTGTGTGTGTGTGTCTGTCTGTGTGTGGTGTAATTTTTAAAAGGAGTCATGGAGACCTCGTTGAGAAGAGGCTTTTGAATAATCACTTAAGGAGATGGACACACAATGGGTCTTGTAAATAAAGGTAAAGGAAAGGGCAAGGGAAAGAGCCTTGAGGCATCAGTGTGCCAGGAGGAGGTCCATGCATCTGAAGCTGAATGAGCTAGAGGAGGGTACAGTAGAAGATATGATCACAGGGGCAATTGGAACCTAGCTCTGTAGTTTTCCGTTAGCATTATAATGACTGCAGATTTTATTCAAAATAAATATGGAAACCATTGGAAAGTTTTGAGCAGAGGAGACTAATCAGATTAAGGGTGGAAGCAAAAGCCTGGGTAAAAGGCTATTGCTTGACAATAAAATGGCACAGGATGTTATAAAAATTGTGAGATTCTGTGGTATCTTGAAGGTACTTCCAACAGGATTTGGTTATGGGTATGAAGTGGGCTATGAGGGAAGGAAATGAATCAAGAGATATAAATTTAACAAACAGTGATGAACCTATCACTGTTTTGTTTTACTTGTATTATCTAATTTAATTTTATAAAGAAAATATAGTATTAGAAAATAATGGTAGAACTCATTATTTTTCTCATTTTACAGATGACGAAATTAAGATATGTAGAGGGACGGTATCTTGCCCCAGTCAGATGCTTATACTTGACAGCTCATGGATTCCAATCCAGGCAGTCAGGTTCCACTGTCTAATTCTCAATAACAGAGTTCTGGGGCTTCTCTACAATGGCATTTAGAGTGTTCGTTTTAAGAAACTGAAAGAATGTTCCACTAGGGAGTATTATGTGCAAAACTAAAAAAAGAGTTCAGGGAGAAATTTAAGAATTTGGTTCTGGAGTTGTTAAATTTGAGAGGTCATAAAGAAAGTTGGACATACAGGTAAAAATGGGGACTCCAGTTTAGAGATTAAATTTGGCATCATCAGACTGCAGAGTTAGGCTAATAGGTTTAGGAATAGGAATGAAAAGGGAGTGCGTCTAGATAGACTGTTCTGTTGCTTCATTTTACAATTTTATTGTTTAAAGCCAGATAAAGATTTAAGAACATAGCAATCACAACAACAAAGAAGAAGAAGAAACAGCATTTGGAGCATATTATTATTTATAATATTAGAAATGTTCTCCCTTGTGCATATTTTATGGATCTGTTCTTTGTCATGCTTCCTGTAGCTTAAATGGTTAAATGTAGGTAAATGGCTTCCAGGAAGCTTAAATGCTTCCTGTAGCTTAAATGCTTCCTGTAGCTTAAAGAGCAATTGTGACCAATAGGTGCCTGCTTATTCTCTTTTATTTTCATGTATTAAAATAAAATCATTTTGAAAGTAAAATTAAATTTTCACTTTGATATTTATAGGAATGAAAAGGCAGAGCTTTTCTTTCTAACAATGATAAAATAATTTGAAAACAAATACATCATCTCACACAATGAATGAGTTGTGGAATTCAATATAAGGTTAATTCTTATGCAACCTCCATTAAGCATGTACGTCACAGAAATATGAGAAAATCTGACTGTAGCACTGTTTTATTTACCAGGCGATTTATTACCTAATGAATATGAAAAAAATGGGATAAAGCTGCACTGAAATTCTTTTATTTAACCGATATATCATAGTACATATGCTGTGCCAATCATTGTCTAAGCAGTTTAAACATATTAACTCATTTCACCCTCTGACATTTCTCTATGGTAGAAACTCTATTATTAGTAATTCAAAGGTGAATAAAGTGGAGATACAGAGACAATAAGCATGCTCAGAGACAAATATCTAGCAACTGGTGCTGCCAGGATTGGAAGTCAGGTAGACTGGCACTAGATCCATGATTTTTACCTTCATGAAAATGTTATTATAATTGATCACTGGCTTTTTTCATAATTACATTATTTATATGTTGACAACTTGGGTGTATATGTCAAAGATTCAGGAAGTGAGATTTTCATTTTCTTTTAGTAGTCTTTTGATGATGTATTTCTTTCACTGAAGTGCAAAACAGTGATCGTATTTCTTCAGCTGTTTTGGAGAAAGGCCTTGCTTTGTGTATTGCCCTTTATAAATTCTCATATCTATTTACACTTACACTTTCTCATTCCTGACCCCATCCTCTAGAAAAATGAGGAAAGTAGGTGTGATTAACTACATTTATTTTATTTTTTTTCCATTCTGAAGAACTTTCAATAGTCAAAACGGAAGGAAATTAAGATGGTTTTTCAATCCAATTTCCGTTTTTTCTTAGGAGGAAATTGAAGCAGAACGTAATCCAAATCTATTCAGATAACACTTTGGTTCAATGAGGACTTAATCAAGAAAAGTGTCAACAGACTCATTCTGTATGGGCCAGACAGTAAATATTCTAAGCGTTTTTAGTTACATACTGTCTCCCCTGTATTCTTCATTGTTTATTTTTGAACCTTTGAAATTGTAAAAATTATTCTTTGCTCTCTAGAATGTACAAAATCCATTGGGTAAGGTGGCTCACACCTGTAATCCCAGCACTTTGGGAGGCCGAGACAAGTGGATCACTTGAGGTCAGGAGTTCAAGACCAGCCTAGCCAACATGGTGAAACACTACCTCTACTAAAAATACAAAAATTAGCCGGGTGTGGTAGCATGAACCTGTAATCCCAGCTACTCAGGAGGCTGAGGCAGGAAAATTGCTTGAACCTGGGAGGTGGAGGTTGCAGTGAGCTGAGATCATGCCACTGCACTCCAGCCTGGGTGACACAGCAACACTCCATCTCAAAAAAAAAAAAAAAAAAAAAAATTGTTCAAAATGGGGCTGTAGGCATGACTAGCCCACAGGTAAAAGTTTGCACACTTCTGATCTAGATGTATATTTTTTCAAAAATTACCAATTCCAATTTCACAGTGTGATTATAAATAGAATTTTTTTCCCTTCCTCCATTCAACTTTCTACAAATATTTATTAAGCACCTAAGTCTCTCTGAGCCCCATCCTTGATGTTGTGGATATGGTAATGCATCAGGCTGACCAACGCTCTATGCTTACTGAGTTTTCCCTGCTGTAGGACAAGAAATAAGTATATCTTAATGTAAATAGAAAAATATAAATGTAGATATTAATAAGTACATGAAGGAAACAAAACAAGGCACTAGGGTAGGTAGAACATGAAGTGTGGTGCCTTTTTATTTGGGTGGCCAGGGAAAGTCCCTCTGAGAAGATGTCATTCAAATAAAGTTATAAATGAGCATATCTGTAGAATAAGGAAAAGGCTAGTAAATAGGGCTATTGGCATTAGATGAGCAATGTAACACCAAAGGCTGACACTTAAAGCTAAGTTATCTTTCTTGAGGGGCCAACCTCCTGATAGCTGTCAATGTAGAATTTTTACACTTTTAGTCTGAGTGAAAGAATTCAGTCAACAAAGAACCTGGATCAGGGTTGAAAGTGTTCAAGAAACAGGCAAGAAGCAAACTAATATCCCTGGATCATAGTTAATTGAGAAGCATAATGATAAATGAGGTTGGGGAAGTGAAAATTATTATGGGATTTACAATTTATTTTAATTGCAATGGCAAATTATGGCAGGATTTAAGCAAGGGAGGAATATTATCAGATTCATGCTTTAAAAACATTACCCTGGAGAATGCAGTATGAGAATGCAAAAGCAAAATTTGAAAATGTAGACGTAATTCCTCTAGAAAAAATTCAAGCAAAGGCATAAAAAATGCTCTATGACGTGAAATTTACTTTCAGAAATAAAGATATAAGGACTGATTTAACGATCACTGTTTATTATATACACCAGAATTTCAGGCTTCTCTTTAAAAAATAAAAAATGGAAAAGGAGAGCACTTTCGTGGTATAAATATGAAAAATACAGTAAGAAGAGTTTTCTTATTTTTAACAATTAGTGTTTCTCAAAATATTAGAAATTAGCAGATTCTGTAAACACAGGTGGCACATCAAGTTGTATTGATTTTCTTTGGGTAATTTGTGTACATTTATAAAGTACTATAAGGTACTATTTAATAATATTTTTACATAAAATTGGAAAAGCTTAACAATGGTTAAAAGGACATTTGATGTGCACTAATGACTATTTTTTACATCCATTGATTTCTATTATTGTAAGCATAATTAGTATATTTTGCTTAAAAGAAAAATGAGGTTCTGCTTGTTTGTCTTTCCGAGATTATGCCTGCATATTAAAAGGAAATAAAGAGAAAACAAATTAGGGGAAAAAAAACAAGAAAAAGAAAGTAATATAAACAATATTAATCAATTTCTGACAAAAATAAGTATTTAAATTGTTGTTTATGTGGGCTATGCTTGCTTGATGTACCAGTAGGAAGCTAAGTATCTACATGTTGTCAGATACATTTAGTTATATAAGAACTGATTTTAAACCTGTAACCTGTCCAGTGTTTTTTTCATCAGTAAGTCTCCCAAGAGGTCTAACTGCTTCTATTCCCTTCCTCAGTACATAATAAATATACTTTATAGATACACTAGCTGCAAGCGGAGTGATGTGTTCAAAATTCAAACCAGAACTGTAAGCATTTTTGCTTAAAATTCTTCCACACCATAGCTAAGATGCTGAGCAATTCAAACTCTATACTGTAGTCTACACCTCCTCAAATGAGTTTACTCCCTCCAACTCAGATTCCCCAGTTCTAAACAATACCAACTTCTTATCATTCCTGAAGTATAGGCTGAAATATTATCTCTACAGAGAGCTTCTTGACCATGCTAGTTGAATCCGCTTTTACTCTCTATTAGAGCATTTATTTTTATTTCCTTTAAGGGCTATTTCAATCTGTGCTTGCCTTGCATGTGAATATTTGCTTATATTGGTTGCCTCCCCTCAGTATATGAAAGTTTCTCTACTGGAGAGAACTCCATTAATCTAGCGACTTTTCATTCACTGCATAGATTAGATATATAGTAAACATTTGCCAAATGGATCGATAAGTAGGATAAGTAACATTACATTACTGAGAACATAATATACCATTGGAAAACAATATGACAGGACATTCCTGATACTCTATTTAGATATATAAAGGAATACGTAATTACGTTTGTTCAGACTTGTGGGCAGAAAGTTCACGTGATGAACACAGTATCTAACTGACTTCTCCACTGATTGCTCCCTCTCCCATATCCATAGATCCACAGCATTATGTATAATATGAACAGAAAACAAAAAAACACTGAAAACTCTAGGATTGTGCTAAGCTATATAAAAGTGCCATTTGTCTATATGTCAAAAACTGAGGAATTCTTCCTATATCCTGCATTAATGAATTGAAAGCTCTGATGTGTGACTTCTCAGGGAAAAAAATATAGCATTGCTAACAAATACATGTTCTAGAACCCTGAAGAACATCACCGGAATAAATTAGTTTGGAGTGATTAGGTCAGAAAGTGAACACTGGTAGTGGAGAAGAGGGGAAAAACTTCATTTGAATTCACTAATGGTTGTTTCTAAAATCAGAAGTATTTGGCAAAGGCACTCAACAGTCCCTGAAGTGATACGCCCCTATAACCAGCAGAGTCCTTGTGGTGTGATAAGAGCTTAACCTGGAAAAGGAACCGGACATAAGAGTGATCTTGAACTTGCCAATTAAGGGAAATGATACAAAACGTCAGATAAAGGAAAATGCTTACTTCTTCCTAAAAATATTGCTAATAATGGAAATAATTATAATAGTGGCAAATAAGAGCACTTTTTCTAAGCAGAGTCTATTCAAAGCACTTTGCATATGTATATTAACTCAAATCTCACCACAGTGCAATGATATAGTAACTAAGTATGTTTATCCCCATTTAGTATATTAGGAAATGTAAAGCAGAGGGAAAAGAGGAAACTTTCTCCAGGCCCTACACTACTAGATGGTGGAGTTTGGCTTCACATCCAGGCAATGTGAACTCTCCACTATGCTATGCTCTTTGCTTGTTGGTTTAAACAAAAGAAGAAATTTAAAAGTTGCAGTGTGGCAAATAATATTCCCCTGTTGAGACTCATGGATTTTAACACCTATACTCACTCTTTGGATTATTAAAATCATTACATAAATTACAAATCTTCTCTGTGTAAGATACAGGAAAAACTTTGCTACAGCACACAGGCAGATAACAAGAAAAAGAGATTATTATTAAATAGTTTATGTCTTAGATCTGGAGTCCATTCCATGTCTAAATTGAGTAGCAAGAAAAAACAGTAAAATCAAAAACAATGCAAATAACCCCCAAAACCAATGACACAAGAATACAAATACACACAATTCTAACATAGAGTCAGTTAAAATTTGTGTAAACTTAGCAAAGGAGAAGAAATATTGAAGATGGATGATAGAGAAAAAAATTGAAAGCATTTGCTTTTGCTTTAATATATATAAAATAAATATATATTATATATAAAATACATATATAATATATATAAAATATATATAATATATAAAAATATATATTATAAAAAATATATAATATATAATATATATTATATATATATACTGTGTATATATATTTTTAGAAGGAATCTCGCTCTTTCACCCAGGCTGAAGTGCAGTGGCATAATCTTGGCTCACCGCAACCTCCGCCTCCTGGTTCAAGCGATTCTTCTGTCTCAGCCTTTCGAGTAGCAAGGACTAAAAGTGCGTGCCACCACATTGGGCTAATTTTTGTATTTTTAGTAGGGATGGGGTTTCACCATATTGGCCAGGCTGGTCTCAAACTCCTGACCTCGTGATCTGCCCAGCTCCACCTCCCAAAGTGCTGGGATTACAAGTGTTGAACCACCACGCCCGGCTGCTTTAAAATAAATATTAAAAAACACTATAAAACAACATAAAACCACAAGATAATAAATAAAAATAATAGGATATTTTATAAGGAGCCAAGTAAAAAGAATTGGGAAAGATCTGGAAAACTGCTATAAAGTCAATATACATAAAATCACATTATTGATATTTATTATAGCCATCAAAAAGCAGAGTTGTCCCTGCAGAAAGTCAAGCAAGTGATTTGTAGGAGAGATTTGATGATTTTTTTCTCTGTTGCAGAGGATATTGGCAAAGGTTTATAAAAAGACAAAAAGCAATACATATTGATGAAATACATATAATGTTGCTTTTGGTAGTTGAGATTTAAGAAAGATACAATAACAACTGAAATAGAAGCAATCAGCCTATGAAAAAGCTAGTAATAATATGAGAGTATGGCAAAAACCAGGAAAATTAATTTTCAAAGATACCAGTGTCATATATACCCATTTTAGTTAAACAGGAAAAAAAAAATAAGAACATTGATAGTCCAAAAGAAAAAAATCAGGATGGTCTCAAATTTCTCTGTAACATTGTATGCCTGAAGAGAAAATAATTTGGACAGTAAGCAAATGTGACTCATAATTAGCTAGTAAAATTGTGCCTCTGTATTTAAAAGCGGCAGAAATATATCTTGACATACATAAAATGTGTCTTGATATTTTTAAAACACTAGCTACATACTCTTCCTGAGTGGGGGAGAAATAGATGTTACATTCGGAAGAATCAAGAGGCTACAGTATAAAATAAATTTAATTGAGCATTGAAACCAGTTATTACAAACAAATTAAAATAATAAATTTTAAATTTATTTCAAAATAGTATATAATGATTAAACTCTAGTTAACAACAATTATTATTATAATTTAAATATTTGATGTTTTTAAGGGGTACAGCTGAAAGAAGTTCTTTGGAAAAGGAGACTAAGAGCCAAATAAGGATATTGAAACATGTTTACTAACTACATTTTAAAAGAGAAAATACACTAATTTTTGGTTCAATATGTGTTTGTACAATTTTTCATGACTGAGACCACAAAATAAATATCAATAAATTACTAAAGTAGAAATTGTGCAGATTTTTTTTCTTGCCATATGCATTAAAATGCATTAAAATGATAGCAATCATTTTAGTGATTTAAAATAACATTTTTACTATTAGTTAATAGTAAAAGTTAACTAATGATAGTTATTAACTATCATTAACTAACATAAGTTAAATAATGATAGATGATATGAAATTCCTTGGAAGTTAAGCTTGTGTTGAACACACACAATCTCAAGTATTATTTCTATTTTCAAAAAGAATTTAAGCCAGAATTATAGTATATGTATGGTCTGGTGGCAGGTTGAATAATAATCCAGAACTCAACAACTGAAAATGAATTAATTAAATCTTCAATTTAGGAAGCACAAAAGTAAAACTAACTAAATAATAGGAATATAAAAGGAAAGGATTACTTAAAGAAAAGCATAAAGATAATAATTTTAAAAAATAGATTCTCACCTCACAGTTTAATAAGTTCCAAATGGATTAAGCATTCTAAAACAAATATAGTGCAATTTGAAGAAAATATAAAGAATATTTTCTGCCTTCACAGACTATTCTAGACAAAGAGACCACACAAAAAAATCTAAGGTCTATGACTGATACATTTGAGCATGTTATAGAAAAAAAAATTGTACATTTATGTGATTTAATAGATCATAAAGAACGATCTGGAAAATAATTTGAAACAGAAGTGGTTGTCATCAATATTCTCTACAAAGTTCTAACAAAAAAAAAGATGATGGTAAAGGCACATGAATAGATGATCTCAACAAAAATGCAAGAATCAAATAGTCAACAGGGCACGGTGACTCACTCCTGTAATCCCAGAACTTTGGGGGGCCGAGGAGGGTGGATCATTTGAGTTCAGGAGTTCGAGAGCAGCCTGGCCAACATGGTGAAACCTCCTCTCTAATAAAAATACAAAAATTAGCCAAGTGTGGTGGTGGGCAACTATAGTCCCAACTACCTGGGTGGCTGAGGCATGAGAATTGCTTGAACCCTGGAGGCGGAGGTTGCAGTGAGCTGAGATGGCACCATTGCACTCCAGCCTGGGCGACAGAGTTAGACTCCATCTCAAAACAAACAAAAAGAATCAAAAAGTCATTCAACAGAATACTAAAAATGCAATGGAAGGAATAGGAGACGGTCTTTATTGTTTCTGGTTTAAATATGAAAAAAGAATATTTGAAACAACTCGCTATCAATACAGATAAAATGAATTAATGCTAGCTATTAGGAGGAAGCGTGATTGTGTTTTCATAAAATAAATTTGAAAAAATTGTCAGCTAATTATTTGCCTACCTCATTAATTTTTGAATTATTTGGAATACCTGTTTAGGAAAAATATTAAATTGTGAGCAAATGAGCAAGTAGCTTGAAAATGAAAGTTAAAATATTTAGATGACGATTAATAATGGTTATATATAAATTTTAAGGCTAAAAGAGTAAGAGAGAACAAAAATGGCCTTAAAAATAATACCAGTTTAAGAAACTAATCATGATCTGAGACTTTATGTACATTTATGTTTATATTGGAAAATTAAAAACCAAATTTATAACACAATAGTTTTCAAGAAATTAATTTTCATGGCAGTAGTCATAAAAGCTATATAATGCATATGAATACTAAAAGCCTTGGTTTTAAATCGCCTTGAATTCATCTTGAGATTGTTGGAGGAGGAAGGTATAATTTCTTTGCCCAACTCCTTAAAATTAAGGACATAATTTATCTTCTGTCTCTCTGATAGAAGAAGTAGAATGTTTATCACACACCGATTAATTTATTAAATGATTAAAGAAACATAACAATAATGCAAAAATTATATAAAAGATGGAGAAAAATATTATAAGATCCATGGTGTTCTATTAAATCAAAATAAATGAATATAAATGTGTATTATTTATAACAATTTAGCAATACTCTGTTGTATGAATATTTGGTTGTTGAATCCTTTCTGCCTTAATTTATTTTTCAATTGATTGGTTTAATTTTTATGCAAAAATTATACCTTTAAATTATACCATTCGTTGACAACTGCGTTAGAAGCAAAGGAGGTCCAGAAAAATAAGAAATGGTCCCTAAACCCATTGTTACTTAATTTGTCAACAGAGGTACAAAATAGTAACCAAAAAAAGGGCATGATAGTGGAGCTGACGAAGATAAACCAAGCTGGACACTAAGTAAAATGGTAAGGACAGATTTTAATCAGGAATATACTCTTACGAGTATACTCAGTGTGAACTGAACTCACGTTCAATTTGTACAGAGGTGCCTGGGAGTTTTAAAGGGAGTATGTGGGAGTAAAGAGGGGAGTGAACAGAGATTTGGAAAGGCAGGGAAGTGAAAAATTACCAAGGGCTGCTCGGTGTAAATGCTGATTAGATCAGCTGTGTTTGCTGGCTGGCAATTACAGAAGTTAGGATTGTATGCCCACACAAAGGAATTGCTTTCAGTTCTGTGAGAAAGACACTCCTTAGTTTTGAGATATATATATATACACATCGCAATAAAAAAAGAAGGATTTCACAATTGTATTCGTCCATTTTTATACTGCTATAATAAACTGCCTGAGACTGGGTAATTTTTAAAGGAAAGAGGTTTAACTGAATCACAGTTCAGCATGGCTGGGGAGGCTTCAGGAAACTTACAATCATGGCAGAGGGCAAAGGAGAAGCAAGGCACTTTCTACACAAGGCGGCAAGAGGAGAAGTGCTGAGCAAAGGGGGAAGAGCCCCTTAAAAAACCATCAGATCCCATGAGAAATCCTTCGCTATCACCAGAACAGCATTGGGGAATCCACCCCGATGGTTCAATTACCTCCACTTGGTCTCTCCCTTGACACGTGGGGATTATGGGGATTATGGGATTACAATTCAGAATGAGATTTGGGTGGGGACACAAAGCCTAACCATATCAAAAATTGAAAGCTTTTTTAGTAAAGGCTTTAAGAAGGGTTCTCAGGAACCTATCTTCTGGTGTTGGCCAGAACAAATGGTAAATTCTTTGGCAGTCTAGAGCTTTCTTAGGAACTTAAGAGAGGCTAAGTTCATCCTAGGAATATGACCTTGAGCTGTTAGAAGCGATGTCAGTGCTTGCTTAAGTCTTTTAATGTTGGGGGATGGGATGGACAAAATCATTCCTGTTGAGAGTTTGGCCTAGGTGGAGGCCTCGTCCAGAAGAGGATGAGGAGCCTGGCTAGAATGTGGTCAAGGAGATAATCTTGGTTAGAGCAAGGGCTAAAATGTCTCCAAGATTCCACATTATCTTAACACAAGACATTACAGTACTCTGATTTATGTTTGAATTGATGTGGGAAAAATCTCATCTAAAATGTCAAAACATATTTTTAAACACAATGAGAAAGTAAGAGTATACACAGAGACTAGCATGGTGCCTGGCATAAAGTTGCACTGGAATAAATATTTTATTTTTGAATAAATGAAGATAGTTGAACCTGAAGGCACTACTGTAAATTGCAAGATGCTTTTAAAAATCTTAATTTCTCTACATGTAGTTTGATAATAAAATTGATAATATAGTTTGCTTATTAATCTTATTCATACTCAAAAAAAATGGTTACATTCACTGTTTTGATACTGTGGGAAAAGAAATCAAATGTTTAAGGCATGCCAGGACTTCGTAGCTGCTATTTAAGATGTTGTTTTGCTGCTTACCTTTTTTTTTTTGCTTTTGCTTTTTAATGAACAGCTTGTTTCTGAAGTAGACACACACAATTTGGCGCAGTTCTCTACAGTTCAGCACAATATGGTTGAATTGGCAGTCTCTGCTCTGAGGAAGCCATTATTGTCTCAGCACCAAAACTTCATTAGTCAAATCCCTATAGAATGAGATCTTTACAAGGCAGGGATAAGACTAATGGTGTGAGGAGGGCACAGATATGCTAATCTTTACACTTGAAGAATATTTACCATAGAGAAAATGTGGATAGCTAGCTTATAATGTGTATGCTTTGCTTTGGTAATTCACTAAGAAGAAACAAAGACTTCAATTAGTTTTCAAAAAAATGATTTTAATAATAAAAATGGAAAATATTTACTATACACATATATTAAAGTTAATTTTAAAATACCTATTACTATGCTTTCTGGAGACATGAAATACAAGTCGTTCACAAACTAAACTTTTCAAAAATAGTGTCTGTAAGATTTGTTGGTTGAATTAAGCATTGTCTCTTATAAACTATTCAGCTAATCAGAATTTAATGAGAAACAAATACATCTGGATGTTAAAAATTTCTCCATATGTGAAAAAATTTTCCTACCAGCCTTTATGAAGGGAGGAAATCTTTCATGAATAAATGATATATTTCCTCTTTGCAAAGTATGAGAACCTGGTAAATACATCTTCCTCACAACTCAATCACTATTTTGAATTATATTTGTACCACATTATAAAATTATATGTTAAAAGGTTAAGTAAAATATTTTAATTTGTAGAATAAAAACCACAATAGGCCAAAATCTTTCCTAAACCTGGAAACACAAGGTATACACGTACACACAAACACACACACACACCAGTTTATATATACATTTATATGTTGATTAACTGTGGGGATACTTTCTGAGGAATTCAGCTTTAGGCAATTTTTGTCATTGTGGGAACATCATAGAGTGTACTTACACAAACCTATATGGTATAACCTACTACACACTTAGGCTGTGTGGTATAGCCTATTGCTCTTAAGCCTGTGCCACATGTAACTGTACTGAATAATGCAGGCAACTGTAACACAGTGGTAAGTATGTGTGTATCTAAGCATATCTAAACATAGAAAAGGTACGGTAAAAATACAGCGTTAAAATCTATGGGACCAGTATCTTACATATGGTCTGATATTGACCAAAATGTCATTATGTGGTACATAACTGTATTTAATTTCGGGCACTGTCTATATTTAAAACTTAAAATGGATATTGCCAAATATTTGAAAGAGCTAAAAGTTCTAGTTCTAATTCTAGTTATTATAAGAGATATATAATATAGTAGATATATGGTATAATACATAGCTATATATATTTTCTATAATATAAATATATCTATATATAGGTTCTAATTCTAATTCTAGTTCTAATTCTGAAGTTTAATGCAGATTATTAGCTGTGTCACAATAATATATGTTGTAAGAAAAATTGCATGTAATGTGTATATAAAATGTAAAATGTACAACATGATTTAGAACATTTAAAATAAGAACAAAAAAATTAAGGTATTTAAAAGTGTTGTCAATAGTAAGCTACAGTAGAGTTATGCTAACCATATAGGAAGCATTAAATAAAGACCTTACTAATTTTTTATATGATTTTATATTTTGAATAGAATTCTAGAGTATTCAAATTAGATAATTTATAAGAAAATTATTTAAAATTTCTAATATAAATATATCTGAGTAATTAAATTGTTATTCAAAATGGTATAATTCACTTTATGTTTTTAATATTAATAAGTGGCAAAAGGATTACTTCATGTCAAAACTGTTCATGTGATTTTTAAATTTTGATTTACATTCTGTTACTTTTTAAAAACTTAGCTCCTCAAGATCATTCACAAATATAGAATATATGTTTCTTGTCTGAATTATTTTTGTATTTAATACTAAAGTTTTTACATAATAGGCATTCCTGAATTATTTACTCTTTAACTGTTTTATCAAAACATAATTAATTGGTGTACTGTTATATTAACTAACAGTTATATAACCAGAACATAAAATATATGGTGTAATCAATCAGAATAAATATTAATTTTTCTATGTTTAAATTATTAAATTAAGAACAAAATATCTGTGGCAATGTCAAGTTTTAACAAATGAATGCATAGGCAGTTTGATTAAATATATGGAGCATGGGAATCTGATATTTATTGGGGTAAACTTTCATAATTACTATCAGAATCAACCAGTTTTAGATATCTTGCAAACCTAATAGGAAATATACTGCCAAAGTATACATTGCTTGACAAAACACCATAATTTCTCTGTATCTTTAAGGTTCCTAGTGATCTAATTTGTGTTTACTGTATAAGCTTTTTCAGTTAAGTAACTACTTTGAAGTTTTAATCTATGCAACATTTTTTTAAATTACAGAATAAATATTTTTCTATTCGAATTTTTCATTTGAATCAGCTATTGGGGCCTCCAATAGTCTCCTGTGGAAACTGCATTGTTGAACAGAAACTGGAGATACTATTGGCATTCTGCCCATATTCTTGATCTTTCCTGGGTGGCCATCTATTGACAGTTCTTTCTGTGTAAGAACATCCTTTGGAAGCAGGGGCATATTTTCCTGACCCTCCAAAGACAAGTGGAGCATTAGTAATGCTGGGGTATATTCTATACAGCTTTTTAAAGGGTCTCTAGAGGAATTGAAACCAGTTTCCCACTGTGGTTAGCCAGTCACAGGAATATTGGCTTTGGTTCCTTCTCTGTCCATTTCATATAACATTTCTGTATGTTTGTTTTCACACTGCTATAAAGACATACCCAAGAGTGGGTAATGTATAAAGGGAAGAGGTTTAATTAACTCACAGTTCCTTATGAATGGAGAGGCCTCAGGAAATTTACAATCGTGACAGAAGGGAAAGCAGGCACCTTCTTCCCATGGTGGACAGAGACAGCCTGTGAAGGAGGAACTGTCAAATACTTATAAAAACCATCAGCTCTCATGAGAACTCACTCACTATCATGAGAACAGCAGGGGGAATCTGCCCCCATGATCCAGTCACCTCCCACCAGGTCCCCTCCTCAACATGTGGGGATTATGGGAGTTACAATTCAAGGTGAGATTTGGGTGGGGACACAGAGCCAAACCATATTAATTTCCCTCCATAGTACTTCTGATTATTTCCTGATTGAAATACTTATGTCCAAATTTGTTACCAGAAGTGGTTCTAGAATGAAAGTCTTCAAGATGGGTTTCTAGAATGATTGCTTGCCTCCCAGGTGGGAATGAAGATTTCATTATTGTATAAAATAAATATGATAGCTCTTGGTACACTGTAACTTCATAATTACTAAGAATCTCACCTGTGGTTAATTAGATTGGACATACCTAAAATGGAAGTACTAGCTTGTGCAACATGTCTAGGAGTTGAAATATACAGGGCAATGGTAATTAGAAAGACTGTGAAGTTGGCTAGCTTTTGGTTACTCTCATGGAAGTCTTGAAAAAGAAAAGATAGTTTTAGGTCATCCAATTATTAATTCAGACTTTGCCATGAAAACCAGACCTTGAATCACATTGTTTAAAAGAGCCATCTTCCCCTGCATATGCTGAAATCAGGCTCAATATTTTACCATAACATTGGCAAAATCAGCACCCTGATAAGAAAGATGAGAAAATAGTGTGAGTCTGAGAGAATATATGGGGACTTTTGGTTGAATGTACTAATAAACCTTGAATCCACATGTTCATGTAAATGCTTAGGCTGATAGAAGCAATCCCTTCATTTTTCTTGACTAGAGTAGCCTCGAAAGTCTGGAGATGATGCAAAGACCAGCCCTGAAGAGGATGCCATGTATGTTGATGTTTTCCATCTTCAGGTTTTACCTGTCTCCTGTTCTCATTGCTTCTGGATCAATAATTAAGATTGACTCTACATGGCCCAAATGAAGAAATGAAAGGAAATGGATCATTCACCAAAGGATCTGCAGAACTTTGCTAATATTTACCAGAAGTAACCAGTAGGATATTCAAGTGAGTGCTTCTTAAAAACACATTAGAGCAGGGGTATGCAAATAAAAGGCCGTATTAGGGAGAGTGAATTTATATGGAAAGAGACTCTTTTATGACTCAGGATTTAATTTCCTGGTAAGGATGCCAGAAATGGAAATTTGAATCCTGAAGATTGGATGGCTTACAGTAAATGAGTGGACCTGCTAGAACAGTCTTGGCAGAGTATTTAGACAGAGGTCAGAAGCACAGAGATATAGGCATGATAGAATAGATTTAGTATATAAGGCCAGAGAAAAGGCCCAGAAAACTCCTTTCACTAAGGGAACGAGGAATATGCTAGTGAGTACTGCAACTTCAGAAAGGTTGGTGGTGACAGTCCACCATAGCCCAGAATGTATTCTGACAGATATAGCTATGAACCCATGCTTACTGGTGTAAATGTGAATGATAATATTCTGGTAAAGCAGAGGACAAGTGGTAGCATCTCACCTTGTCAGAAACAAGTTGGGTTTAATTCCAGCATGTGTAGCAAGCCTGAAACAGCAATCAAGGACCTTACTTATAGGGATCTGTAGCAGTGGCTAATAAACTATGGTATTCCTAGGGGCCAGATAGGCAGCCAATAAAGATATTGGATTGGATTATAGATGTCAAATGGATAGAGTTGTTCAGGAGAAGAATCATGATGGCAGCTATAAGAGGAAATCATGATTCCTTTCCCAGTTTCTGTACCTAGGATAATTCCTAGACAATAAGATCATCCATTGAAAAAGAGACTGGATCTTCTTGAGGAACGATCCTGCAGTGCCAACATTGTTTTTATAACAGATATTTCTGAACCTTTTCCAATGGAACCTATGGCAATTTACCAAAGTAATTATGTATCAGGAGAAATGTAACTAATAGATATTTGAAAAAAATGTTGGTTAGAGGATCTTACCTGGCACTGATACTAGGGATCCCAAATGTCATCATAGTACCCTTTTAGAGTGGGGTCATATGGAGGCAAGGTAATAAATGAAGTCCCGGTCCAAGCCCATCTCATGACAAACAATTTTGGGGTATCATTGTGTTGTCCTTTCTCCATGCTTTAAGCTGAATACTCGGGATGAATATACAGTCATAATGACGTTTCAGTCAACAATGGATGGTGTTCCTATAAAGCTATAAAATTATATTTTTACTATACCATTTCTATGCTTAGATACACACGTATTTTCCATTGTGTTAAAATTCAGGTTTTCAGCCTAGAAGCAACATGCTATACCATATAGCCTAGGTGTGTAGTCAGAGCTATACCACTTAGGTTTGTGTAAGTATACTCCATGTTGTTTGCATAACAAAATCACCTAATGATTCGTTTCTCAGAATGTATTCCCATTTGTTAACTGATGCATGACTGTACATATCAGCTTGCAGAAACCTTATATTGGCTTCCCACCGTATGGAACAAAAACTTTCATAACAAAGACCAAGTGGGAGTACTTTCAAACCATTGGCCACTTCTCCTGGCCAAGTTAATCAGAAGCAATAGCCATATCCTAAGTAGAATAGTAAAGAGTTATAACATATCCAAAGACTTAATAGTTTCAGGATTGCTGCTTTGTGTGCCCCACAAACTCTGGATGGATAATGGAAGGTGATATAAATTAACATAACCTTAACCTAGTGGTAACCTCGATCATATTTGCTGTGGAAAACTTTTACATGTTTTTTGAAAGAGATTAACACAAACTCAGACACCTGATTTATGGTTATCGATATGATGACTGCATTCTTTTTATTTCCCATCAGGGCATCCGTACAAATGCCTTAATTCTCTTGTTCTCTACCACAATTTACATATTGCATAAAGGCCTTGATTGTTCAGACATTCCAGAAAGCCTTATGCTGGTCTAGTATATTGATACTGTCAAGTTAATTACACCTGGTAAGCAGGAAATGGCAGGTTCTCTAGATGTCTTGTGGAGAAATGTGTGGGCAAGTGATTAGGAGAAAATCTCTATGAAAATGCAGGTTTCTGCCACATCAGCGAGGCAATTAGATTTGCCTAAAGGGAATAAGAAACTATTTTCTCTAAGTAACAAGGGCATATCAAAGGAGTAAAAATCTATTTTCTCTGAGTAACAAGGGACTGTCAAGAGATATCCAGGGGCAGGAACTACACTATAGAGTATAAGCATTCAGAAAACCAAGATGAAAAGCCCCACCTGCCAGGAATGCTGGCATTATCCAAAGCCTTACTGTCTCTGTGCGGGTTAGCCATTTCCAGTTGAACGGGCCCTCCACTGAACTATCAAAAGGGGGAATTAATCCAGCCTCCAGCATCCTCCAGATTTGCTTCTCATAAATGTGAAAATGTATTATATTACATATTGCAGAATTGCTCTTTAAGTGGTTGTATCAGCTTCTACTCCTAACAACAGAATTATGAGAGTTCTCTCTGGTCTACATCATCACCAACACTTGGTATTGTCAGACTATTTAAAATTTTCCAGTATAATATGTTTGAAAATGTACCTCATTGTGGCCTTAATTTCTCCAGTTTCTATTCAGCTTAGCACTTTCTTATCTTTATTGGCCATTCAGATCTCCTCCTCTCTAAATTGCATGCCCATATCTTTCACCATTTTTTAAAAAGCAGATTATACTTATAGTTTTTATTTTTAAAACTTATTTATATATATTGCAATAAAATCATGTCTTTTGCAGCAACATGGATGCACCTGAAGGCGAATATCCTAAGTGAGATAACTCAGAAACAGAAAATCAAATACAGATTGTTCTCACTTATAAAAGGGAGCTAATCAATGGGTACACGTAGACATAAAGATGAAAACAACAGACACTGGGGACTCCAAAAGTGGGGATGGTGGAGTGGGGGTGATGACTGAAAAATTACTTATTACTGAGTACTATGTTCACTATTTGTGTGATGGGTTCACTAGAAACACAAAACCTTGCATTATGCAATATACCCGTGTAACAAATCTGCACAAGTACCCCTGAATCTACAATATAAATAAATAATTTTTAAAATGAAAATTAAAATTCTTTATGTATTTTAGCTATGAATATTTCTCAACTATATGCATTATAAACATCTTATAGTCTGTAGTTTGCATTTTAATATATGTATAAAATATTTGGATGCACAGAATATTATTAATGCAAATTTTAGAAATATGTTTTATTTTTCTATCTTGCTTTATATAAAAATTATTTCTGATATCAATGCCATATAGATAATCACATACATTTTCTTCTACATTTAGTCTTTAATGCATAAGAAATCTATTTTTGGATTGAGTATATTGTAGAAATCTATTACTTCTCTTTCTCCAATTCATAACTAGGTTTCTTTTCATCACATTGTTCAAGGAATCATTGCTTTCTTCTAAAATTTATAGGTCCAGGCAAGGTAGCTCACACTTGTACCACCAGCATTATGGGAGGACACAACCAGCCTGGGAAATATAGTGAGACACTGTTTGTACCAAAAAAATACAAAAATTGGCCAGGCTAGGTGGCCTGTGGTCCCAGCTACTTGGGAGGCCGAGGTGGGAGGATCACTTGAGCCTGGGAGGCAGAGGTTGCAGCGAGTCAAGGTAATGTCACTGCACTCCAGCCTGGGTGACAGAATGAGACACTGTCTCTTAAAAAAGAAAATAGAAAATTGCAAAGACAGCTCTTCATTACATCTAATTTCCATACAGACATAAGTCTGCTTCTCTACTATAAACTCTATTTTACTAACAGATTTATCTTCACTGGCACCACTATGAGGACTGTGATTATAAGAATGAATATATTATAGAGAAAATCTTCTCATCTCTTTCTTCAAGAACTTTTGGCTGTATTTAATCTTGTGTTCTTTCATTTCTGTTTGAAAACCCTCAAAAACTACCATGAAAACCATTTTGATTGCAACTTATTACATGTGGCTTTTAGCTTAATTTGAAGAGGATTTACATATTTACACTGTATTAATAGATGCTTTTTATGCATAGGCATGTTAAATTCTGTCCCCTTATTTAGTATTACCTTTATATCTTAATTATTTTCTTTTCATACTGATCTTGCAAAAGCTTTTAAAACAAAAATCATTTGAATCTTATTCTTCTGAAAGCCATTACCGGGTGAAAGTTTTGTATTAGATTGGGTGTTCCAGGAAGAAAGACTAAATTCTAACTACAAATCTTAGGTCAATTCTTTGATAAAAGATTGTAAAGTTTAATTATTATTACTTTGGCTGGGCACGGTGGCTCACGCCTGTAATCCCAGCACTTTGGGAGGCTGAGGCGGGCGGATCACGAGGTCAGGAGATCGAGACCATCCTGGTAACACTGTGAAACCCCGTCTCTACTGAAAGTACAAAAATTAGCAGGGCGTGGTGGCGGGCACCTGTAGTCCCAGCTACTCGGGAGGCTGAGGCAGGAGAATGGCGTGAAGCCGGGAGGCGGAACTTGTGGTGAGCAGAGATCGCGCCACTGCAGTCCAGCCTGGGTGACAGAGCGAGACTCCGCCTCAAAAAAAAAAAAAAAGTTATTATTTTATTTTATTCAGAATCCAGATGAAGATAGAAAACATCCATTTCAGGTTATTTTCCTTACTGTCCAGAATTTTTTGTGTATATACTCTTCCATTATGATTATAGTACATTCTTGAGACATTAATTTTACTGTTTCTCAGCTCTGCTTTGTTTAAATTGAAAGCCTTTTCTTATGTGCAGGAGTGACATTTAAACCCCGAATTCTAAGCACAGTAGCTCCCTTCTGTCTCAGCCTCAACCACTAAACTGTTTGGACCATGCACAGTCTCATTTTCAGTTTCCTCTTCATTTGTGTCCTCTGGTTAATCCTGTACCTAATTGGGAGCTCAGCTACAAACGTTTGTTTGATTTAGTTTACTCAACATTTTTCAGTAGTTGCTACTGCAAGGGTTCTCATAGTTTCTAGTGCAATATATTGCCAGAAAAGATAAACTTTTATTTCAAGATTTTTCTTATTAATATGTTCTATTCGTTAAAAAATAAGCCAGTCATTTAACACTTTCGTGAATAATTTAAATAGCACAAATTCATAAAGAGTTTCAAAACAGTGAAGGGGAATGCTACAGGATTTTCTTTAAGATTATTAATAAATCTATTCTGGCAATGGAGATACAAATAATTCATATTTGAACAGTGAGAACATGGGAATGCCATGGAGCCGATATTCTACTGATGCAAATAAATACCCTCATTCACTGAGTGTTAAAGACAATCCAACAGAAATTGAGAAGATGATGATGGAGATAAATTGCCAGTCATTTTCAATAATCTTAGCAATTGAAAATAGAATAATTGCAATAATTTCAGGACAATAGAAATAATGCACGGATTACAAGATGGTTTTTTCAAAATTTATGGAAATTCAGAGCATCTATGTGTGTACATATTATGTGGGAAGTTTTGCAAAACTAAATGGCCATCAGAAGTCTTAGTGAAATTCTGCCTTGGATGTAAACCTGAATATTATACTCAATTATGATTTGGACACCTTTTCCATATGCAAAATTGAAACTAATTTACTTATAAAAGATCCCCTCCTCCCCCACCACTCCGGGCAACAAATTCCCACCTGTTTGAACTGGATAATCACCATCACCCTGGAGGACAATTATTCTGGTGAACATATTTTGGTAATTAATGAATAACACTGAAATCAGTTTTATTGATTTTAGCTTTGGTTCTGTAACTTTTTAACACCACTTTGGGCAAGATTTTTAATCTATTCTATTCTTCTTTTAAAGTAGGGTAAAAATTGTTACTTTCTTACTCCATGAAGGACATTTTGAATTGGATGTAACTATATAATCTAATAAAGTTAGCTATTCATGAAATGAATCATTCCCATGTTACATGATCTTGTTGAATATTCTTATCATCCAGCATTTTGAATCACCAGTATAATGATAATTTGTGTTGATAATGAAGCTCCCAAAATGCATTCTGAATCATCAAAAAAAGACTAGATTAGGTTCAGAATAATTTTAGTTCCAAGTGACTCATCTGTCTCATTAATCTCCAGTATTAAGCCTCAAAGTCCTTCAGAGTATTTCTTCAGAGAAACTCACATTCCATAGCAATCTTATTAAATAGTGTTAATATATTACATTTTTTAAACTTTTGGTGGCAAAGCATGCACTTTAAGATAGGCCTGCATTTTTCACTACCTACTAGATATGCAGCTTTCAACAATTTACACAATCTCCATAAATACTTGCCTTTACCTGTAAGACTGGTATAATAATGGCTTGCTCAAAGTACTTTTTGACAGTGCATACAATATGCTTAGCTCAGGGCCCGGCAGGGTAGTAAGCACTTTCATTACCTTAAGTGTCATTATTTTGTTAATGCTTTTCAGCCACTATCATAATTATGCTTCCATTGTTTCCATTAACAAAAAAACATGAATCATTATTTTTTATCAGATCTAGTCCAAAGTTCTCCAACTTACTTTCCAACAGAGAAATAGGATATTCATGGAACAAAAACACTCCTACAATTCTACAAAATGTTCTTGTGTGATCTTAAGATCGTGATTGTCATTCACAATTGCTTCCTCTGATACATGAAGTTCAGGTTTACTTTAATTTTATCTCTTTTATTCTTTCCTTTATCTTTTTTCCTGAGCCTCGGTTTCTTCATTTGAAGCATGAAGTTAATGAATGGTAGACTGAATTGCAAATAATATTTTAGAACATCACTTAGCACATTGTCTGAGAAATAGGTGCCACATATTATTAGATATCTTCTAAAGTCCCTAAAGCATGACATGAACTTTTTAATTAAAGCTTATTTCCCATCACTCCTTCAAAATTGCACTGGTTTACTCTTGCCACTGTCCTTTTCCTATTAATTGTCATGAATCCATTATGTCAAATATTAATTATTATATATTAATTAACCTTTGTCAACCTTTTTGCCTGAGTAAACCTTCAAACTTTTCAAGAACAACCCCAAGTTGACATTTTCATGATCTTCCTTCTTTACTGCATTCTAAGCTGATATTTTCTTTAATTAAAATCCTGAAATTTCACTCCTTTAGTGAATACTTATTTAACAACTCTTACTTAAGAAATTTTTATTTTAAAAACTAAGATATAATACTTGCACGTGCTTGTCTTGCTCTAGTCTGGCAGAAAATAGTAGGCACATGTATTAGTCTGTTCTCACACTGCAAATAAAGACATACCCAAGACTGGGTAATTTATAAAGGACAGAGGTTTAATGGACCCACAGTTCCACATGGCTGGGGAGGCCTCACAATTATGGCAGAAGACATAGGAAAAGCAAGGGGACACATACATGGTGGCAGGCAAGAGAGCTCGTGCAGAGGAACTCCCATGTATGAAACCATAAGATCTCATGATACTGATTCACTATTATGAGAACAACAAGGGAAAGACCCACTCCCATGATTCAATAACCTCCCACTGGGTCCTTCCCAAGACATCTGGGAATTATGGGAGCTACAGTTCAAAATGAGATTTGGGTGGGGTAATGGCCAAACCATATCAGCATGTGTATAGATGAATTGCAATATTTATAGGAAGTGATATGGGCTGCATGTTTGTGTTCCCCAAAATTCATATATTGAAAGGCTAATAGCAAATGTGATGGTATTTAAAGATGGGGCATTTGGGAGGTGATTAGGTCATGAAGATGGATCCTTCATGTTGGGATGTGTGCCTTTATAAGAAGAAACACTATAGGACAGTGCTTCCCTCTCTTACTCCCCGACTAAAATGTCAGGATACAAGGAGAAGACACCTCTGCAAACTAGGAAGAGCGTCCTCACCAGACACTGCCAGTTCCTTGATCTTGGACTTCCCAGACTCCAGAACTGTGAGAAACAAAAGTTATTTAAATTACCCAGTCTATGATATTTGTGTTATAGCAGTCCAAACTAAGATAGGAGGGATATTACTAATTATATAATCATGTATTATAATTCTCTTACATATTACATTTGTTCTATAATATACATTATGTATTTCTCAATGGCAAAGAGTGTCTCATGTTTCTATTTTACAAATTGTGTTAATTATTCGCAATGCTAATTGCATTATAATAGGACAAAATAATATTATTTGGGTTACTGAATAAAAGGAATGTTTATTATCATAACATTTTTATTATCAGACTAATTCTAATTTCTATTTTTAAATTGTTCGAGATATTTAAAATATTGTAAATGCAAAGGCAATGTTATATATGAGTTCATGAGAGAAAGTTGGAATTGTACTAATGAAGATGAAATTTTCAAAAGAAAAGATGGGTAGACATTAATGAATCAAGTAAAGAATAAAATGCTTCTAATATCTGTCCTGTACTAATGGCAAACTAGCATCATGCTAGCTTCCCCTAAAACTAGTCCAAGAGAAAATATAGAAAAGGGATACAAATTTTTCAGGAATAAGCCAGAAACAAACAAACACCTTTGTGAAGCTCTTGGGTAGACTCAGTATTGTCCTGAACTGGTGACAAGGATGGGAATAAAGGTGAAGATGTCAGTAAGATGATAGGTTGAAAGGAATCATTTAACTTCACCTTATTCCTATCCTTCACTTTAGTGTTTCACATAGAAATTTTCTGCAAAAGTTCTTGTTCTAATAGTGGGGAGGGATGAACCCAATACAGCATAAATGCCCATTGGGTTAGGGAATCTATGAAAAATGGTGGTTGTGAACCAGTTGATCTGCCCTTGAGCATTTGTTCCTCAATTTCTACCGTTCAAAGTTCCCATTCAAAGCTAAGGAAGCAGGTTTTTGCAATGCTAATTTTTCCCAATAGTTAAATGGGAGAAAAAGTGGCAAGTAATTGCCTGGTAAGGAACCACAAATGTGAATGATACATTATCTTTCTGTGATTTCTTGGTTCCCTTCCCTGAGATTCTGGCTACAGGGCTAGCCTTTTGCCCATTTCCAGAAAAGATTACCAGATTGAGTAGCAATTACTGTCAGGGAACCTTGTACTCATATGCCAAAAAAAAAGCCATCTAAGAAATAGAAAACACTCTGAAGAAATGTTAACTATTCATCTTACACCAACTGAAGCAGAATTCTTAGAACAAATGGACAAAGATTTTATATACAGACATTTAAATAGTATATAATGAGATAAAATAAATTAATAATAAGGTAAAATAAATTTTAATGCAAAATAAAAAACAAATTTTAAATATTAAATATAGAAATAATCCACATTTAAATATATAATAATGAAATCAAAAATATTAAAACTTAAGAGAAAATGCTAAAAGCACACAGAAAGCAAAGTTTAAAGGCCTATGATTTATAAAGAATTAAGAAGGAGATTAATACCAGACTTCTCATTTTCAATATTGGAAAGGGAATAATAGTTATAAGTTTCGAAGAAAAATAACTTTGTACTTAGATTTATTTCCAACCAAATTGTTGTTCAAAGGTATGGATGTAATAAAAATATTCCCAGGACTCAATGATACCAAAGGGTTTATCTGTCAGGTGAAGATCCACAGTTAAATGCTTTTTTTTTTGTTTTGTTTTGTTTTTGACAGAGTGTCACTCTGTTGCCCAGGCTTGAGTGCAAGGGCGCGATCTTGGCTCACTACAACGTCTGCCTCCCAGGTTCAAGCTATTCTCCTGCCTCAGCCTCCCTAGTAGCTGGGATTACGGGTGCCTACCACCACACCCAGCTAATTTTTGTATTATTATTATTATTATTATTTTTAGACCAAGTCTCCTTCTGTCGCCCAGGCTGGAGTGCAGTGGCATGATCTTGGCTCACTGCAAGCTCCACCTCCCAGGTTCACGCCATTCTCCTGCCTCAGCTTCCTGAGTAGCTGGGATTATAGGCGTGTGCCACCACCCCCGGCTAATTTTTTTTTTTTTTTGTATTTTTAGTAGAGATGGGATTTCACCATGTTAGCTAGGATGGGCTGGATCTCCTGACATCAACTGATCCGCTTGCCTCGGCCTCCCAAAGTGCTGGGATTCCAGGTGTGAGCCACCACACCAGGCCAGTTAAATACTTTTAGGAAGAGATATTCAATAAGAAAAGAAATCAGTCAAAGAATATATTGCAATAGATACATAAGGTAAAGTTTATTGTTGTCTAGTGAAATATTCATAGTGAGGAAAATAAAGGAGGAGGATAAGGTGAAGAAAGACTCAGAAGAAGAGAAAGAAAAAAATCATCCCAGAACTAAAATGTTAGACATATAATCATGATGATAGACCAATGATCAAAGCAGGGGAGAAATCAAAGGAGTATGTATCCATGATATGATGTATGAATTTTATTAGGGAAAGGTGCAGCTCTTATTTTTTAATTAAGAAATATGAACAGGGAACAAATATAAGAATAAAAATGGACTGTATAACATATATGACCCTTAAATAGAAAAGAATCTTAATATTAAAATTCAGAAAAAAAGAAAAAATACTATAAAGAGAAAATATTTTTAAACACCTGAAATCAGTCCTAAATTTTAGCAATACTCAAATGGAAACTGCCTATACTACAGTATCAAAATTCAAAGGTTTTCAAATTAAGTTTTAGAAAAACAGGATTCAATTATAATATCATTTTCAGAAGCTACACTTAACAAAAAGCATGGAAATTTTGAAACAGAAGGGGAAAAACAGATTAGGCAAATATCAATTAAAACTCAGTTGTGTTCTATTTTTGACAAAATAAAATTTAAAGCAAACATTGTAAGAAACAAAATACTTTGTGCTGGTAAAATGTTTATTTTTCTTTTACTCATCTTAAAATGTATTCTATCAACTCATTTTCAAAATATACATAAGTACAATTGAGAGAGCTGTAGAGAGAAACAGAGAAAGCAATAATGGTATTTAACAAATCTATCTCAAAAATAAATGAAGATTTAAAAATAAGCAAAATTCTTAATGATTAAATAATGTTAATTAAGATAATGCACAGAGATGCTGTGTATAAAAATTGTATTATGCATGCATATATACACAATATATGAACATATGCATGTATCTGCATTAGTCCATTCTCACATTGCTGTAAAGAAATACCCAAGATTGGGTGATTTATAAAGAAAAGAGGTTTATTTGCTCACAGTTCCATATGGCTGGGAAGGCCTCAGGAAACTTACGGAGAAGCAAACACATCCTTCTTCACAAGATGTCAGGAGAAAGAAGTGCTGTGCAAAGGGGGAAAGCACCTCATAAAACCATCACATCTCGTGAGAATTCACTCACTGTCATGAGAATAGCATGGGGGTAACTGCCCCCATTATTCAGTTACTTCCCACTGTGTCCCTCCCACAACACGTGGGGATTATGGGAACTTCAATTCAAGATTAGATTTGGGTGGGGACATGGCCAAACTATATCAATATCCATGTATTTATATAGACATGCCTCATAAATGATATGATTAATAAATTTGCATTCTATGTGTAGAACTCTACATCTAACAGAGAATAGAATTTTTAACTACACCCCAAAATGCACACATATATTTGATTTAAATGGTCAGTAAAATCTAAAAGCTGATAGAGACTGTATCCTTCTATGATGTAAAATCAGACTATATTCTCTCCCATGCAAAAATCATATTTAAAATAATCAATATGCTGACAGTTGCCTCATTTCTTTCTCTATCCTACTCTATTTAACATCCAGATTTATATATCCCATTGCCTACTTGGCATACTCACTTGAGTGTTTAATAGATATCTCAAATATTTTATGTCCTAAATTTAAACTCTGGTCTTTTTCTCAAACCTGTTCTACCTCCAACTTACCTTATTTGGGATGACTTCAGTTCAATTTTCTTTTGGCTGAAACTTGAGTTTTTGACTCGTGTCTTTCTCTATACTTTGCACCCTATTTGCGAGTCCTTTTAGGTGGCATTCTACAGGAAACATATTCAGATACCGCGATTATCTTCAGGAGATTTTGAGAGAAATGTTTCTGGGAGCAATATTTATGGAGGGAAATCTTGGGAAGCAGAATTGGGCAAGGGAGGAGATGAACTGGAATGTATTTGCAATGTTGGCGTCAGCCAATTTCACAGAACTTTGGAGCTGGAATTGCTCTTCGGAGATCCCCTCCCCACACAGCACCATCCATCAGTCAGTAGAAATGCCTTGCTCCTAAGAGAGGCAAATTATCTGGGACTGAGCAGTAGCTGTCAGCTGAAGTCAGTTCCTGGAGAGGGTATTCAGATGAGTCATCAGCAGCCAATAAGCTCTGTGAATGAGCAGAATCTCAGCACTGCCAACAGCATCCACTGCACTGTGTTTACTTCTATAACCTAACGCGTCTCGCTGTGTCTATCTTTGCCCTTGTTATGTCTATTTTTACATAACAGTCAGAATATTTTTGAACCAAAGACAAAATCATTTTACTGTTAAAATTAATCTTAATTAATCTTTTCAGTGATTTTCATCTCCTAGTAGAAGACAAGTCTTTCCAACTAGGTTAAAATAAAATGTAAAAAAAAAAAAATAAACATCTATGGCTTTGCTTATACTAAACAGTGTTTCTACCATGAAAGACAGAGGAAATTTGTTCCAATGCAGAGGAATTAGTCTCTGTGGGCCAGCACCTTCAGATTAACTGTGAATATAACTTACAATCAGTTCAATGCATTGAAGATTTACTCTTATAGTGGTGTATATAAGGAAGACCATCTCCTTAATGAAAGGCAAGTCAAACTTTTTTATTTTAACTTTTTTTAGAGACAGCGACTCACTATGTTGCACAGGCTAAGAGTAGAACTTTAAATGGCAAAAGCCACAGTGAAAGAAGGAAAAAAAAAGCCACAGTGAGGAAAAGGAAAAGTAATAGATTACTTGAAACAAATCCTTTCCTTGCCATTTCAGGATTGGTTTGTTTTGGAGCTCTGTGCTACTCCAGTGTAGTTTGGAATTTCTTAGGAACCATGATTACCCATCAAGTCCATTATTTTGAGTCTCCATGGTGGAGTTGTGTCACAGAGAGCAAAAGTCAGAAGTTAACTATCAGGCTAATGTTACTCAATTTTCAGTGAAGCAGTTGTTCTTGTTCTTTCATCTGTGTCTCACACTGAATTCTATTTTACAATCTCTCACACATTTCAGGCTTAGGAATATGCAGTGGAAAATGTATTATGCACATGCATGTCAAGAATCAGTAAAAATTTATTTTAGCAGTGGTTGGATATGTCCTACATGATCTGAGATGACCTTCTCTTTCTGACCTTCTTTCCTCATCACTAATTCTGCTACAGCCGCACTAGACACCTTGCCAGTCTTACATCACATCAGGCATTGAAATTTTTCACTCGCTTTTCCCTCTTTGAGACACTCTTTGCCCTGATATAACCTAACACCTCTCCTCCTTCAAACATTTGCTCAAATCTCACCTCTGCAAAAGGCTTAGCTTTATGTCCCTATTTATTACAATACTCTGTGCTCGTAATCTCCCTTAGATTTTTTCTTCTTTATTTTTCCCCTAATAGCACATATCAGCTCAAATCATCATCACCTCTGACCTTACCTGTAATTTTCGATGAAAACATTGATTCTGAAGACACTTTGAAGATATGAAATTATATTCCAGATGTGATCATATGATATGTAAGCTATAGTTTGTTTGCTTTACAATACTCTGCATTTAAAAGAGAAGATCAGGACTCAACTTTCTGACCCACCATCCACTGGTGCCATGATTTTGGAAAATTCACTTAATCTGTTGGGATTTATACGGCTATGACTACTGGCCTTCTTTATCATCCATCTTAAGTTCTGCAGCAGCAGATCATGAGACCAGGATTAGTGTGCAAGCGGTTTACTATAGAAATGCTTTCAGATAAACTGGTAAAGAATGTGATAGCTCCAGGCAAGGGTGCAAGTTCAGGCCAAGTCCAGCTTCGGCCTGACCATGGAGGGAAGCTCTGGGATATAAATTATATCTTAGCATTTGTCCATACAGGAGGCAAGATAACTGAGTTTCATACTGGTGTAAAAGTAAATCCTTGCCTGTTCTGCCAGGCTGCCCAACAGTGGGATAGGCATAAATTCCCAGTAGCTGTTGTCTAGGCAAAGCAGGTCTAATAGCCAAGATTAGTCCTCTGAAATGTATGGTACTCAGACCTGTAAGAAACAAAAGACATGGACATCTGAGGAATAAATACTCAAAAATATTGAAAGGTATTGGAGGACACCTATTTACATCTCTGACAGCACCTACTACATACCTTCAAAAGGAACTGGTTTGGTGGGTCAACCAATTGCATTACTTTAAAAACTATAAAAACCCAGAGGGCAGTTCCAGGCTGGGGTCTTGAACAACATAGCTTTCACTGGGGCTGGTTTCTAAAATGACAGAAATGAAATCACACAGAAATACACTTGTAGCAGCCCTGAAGTTTTCCAGAAGCCAGGGTTGACCAATGCACTGTTTATTCTACTGTGAACTATACATTTTACTGCTACACACACAAAATATGCATTGTATTAGTCTGTTTTCTGTTGCTTATAACAGAATACTTGAAACTGGGTAATTTATAAAGAAAAAGATTTTATTTCTTACAGTTATGGGGGCTAAGTCCAAGGTCCAGAGACCGCATGTTTGAGAAGACCATGGTCCAGGGGTCGCATCTGGGGAGGGTCTTGTTGTTGGTGAGGCTCTCAGCAGAGCCCTGAGTCAGTGCAGATATTTGCATGGCAAGGGAGTTGAGCTTGCTAATATGCTGGCTCAGGTCTTTCTTTCTCTGCTTATAAAGCCACCAGTTCCCCTTCTGTGAGTACTCATTAATCCGTGGATTAATCCATTCAGGAGGCATAGCTCTCATAAAGCAATCACTTCTTAAAGGCTCCACCTCTCATTACAGACACACTGGAAATTAAGCTTCTTTTGTTTCTTTCCTTTTTTTTTTTTTTTTTTTGAGACAAGTTCTCACTTTGTCGCCCAGGCTGAAGTGCAGTGGTACCATTAAAGCTCACTGCAGCCTCTGCTTCCAGGGCTCAGGTCATCCTTCCACTTCAGTCTCCCAGGTAGCTGAGACCACAGGTATGCACCACTACACCCAGCTAAGTGTTTGTATTTTTTGTAGAGATTGTGTTTCACCATGTTGTCAAAGCTGTTCTCAGACTCCTGGGTTCAAGCGATCCACCCACTCTGGCCTCCCAAAGCTCTGGGATTACAGGCATGTGTTACCTCGCCTGTCCCAGAAGTAAGTTTAAAGATGAGATTTGGAGGGGACACAGCATGCTTGTAGTTATTTTTTTCTTATAAATCATATTGTAATTATCTTCTCTCTTAAATTATCATAAGAACTCCATTTTTAACAAAGTCTGGCATTTGAAAAATCCTAGAATATTCTTTATAAATTAAAATATATGCTGTTAGGAAGATTATTTAATGTAATGTATCGTGAATGTCGAAAAAAAGTAGAAACACTACAAGCAAGCCAAAGAAACTTTTATTTATTTACTTAATTAGTCTACGAAAGTGTCCAATTTGTTCAGTGAATTGTGGCTAATGGGTGATGCTGTTAAGTCTCAAATTACCAGCGCTAAGCTTCATTTCTTTCGGTTTCCACTATCTGCTGAATGGAAGGAATAGAAAAGAACATTGCAGTGGAGATGGGTAAAGCAAAATGTGGAAAATTAATCAAAGAGGATGAGTAACTAAGAAAGAAAAATTAGAAAAATAGATGCTTTCCAGTTATCGATGCTTCTGTTTTTATCAATTGCCACCAAAACCAATATAGAAGTATCAATAGATGATTGCCTTTGTGTATTATAGAGGACTAGTTTCAAAATTACTTAACTGATTGATTGATGCCTAATTTGCTTGCTCGTTAAGCATCACAAGGTGTCCTGTACCAGGAAACTAGGCACAAAATTTTGAACATCTTTTAAATATAATGGCATTTTCCTTTGTAATTTTGTGTATTGCAACTAAAAGACTATTAATAAAAAATCAAACAAAATGGACCAAAATCTAGATTTGTTTTTGAAATATGGCATAATAATAAAATAAAATCAGGTAAGGGTTAATGGTTTTGAAACAAGCAGCCACGTGCAAAAACTGCCCACACAAAAAAATGATAAATATTCCAGGAGATGGACAGGCTAACTACCCTGATTTAATCATTATGCTTTGTATCCCATAAAAACCTACAATTATCACATGTCAACTAAAAATAAAAGGAAAACAAGTTGATTAATGAAAAAAATGGGAAAGAATACAAAGCAAAAGGGACTAAAACACTACTTTAAGACCCTTATTCAAGACAAGGAAGCAGAAATGACCATGTTTTAAAGCTCCTAAACTTGAACCTCTGTGATAGAAGATTTTATTCAATGAAGCAGAGTTGTTAGGAATCAATTCTCTATAAATTGAAGTAATAATGTTCCTCGAGCAAACACTTGCCTTATATAAACCCTTCATAATGACAGCAAATCAAGAAAACTATACAATGACAGAGATTCATTTACTGTAGAAGCAAATACAGATAAGAGCTATAGCAAACCTTTCTGAAAGCTTTGTCTAACTAACCCTTCAAAGCTGAATGCTTTCAGCTGTAAGGGCTCTTCACTTTCCTTAGAATGTTTACTATTCACCAGAGCGTTTCTACAAAATTTGACCAAAGAGTTAGCAACAAATTATACTAATAATGACTACTCTACTGGAAAAATGTGAAATATAAACAGCTCCAAATTGCTTGCAATTGAATGAAAGGTAGGATACATTGTTGTCTTTTGTTTGTTTTTCTTGCTTTTTTTTTGATTTTTGCTAATCTTAATTCTTTTTTTCACAGTTGGCTAGGTGTTGAAATATTCTGAGGGAAGAGAAATGACAATGTAGACATTTATAATCTTGTATTAGCTTAATAGTACAGTTAATGTGTCATGATTATCATGTAGGTATAGTTTTACAAATGTGTCTGTCTAGATTAAGGAGGTTCAATATTAGTGCTAGTCTGCTAAGAATACTAATTATATTTTAAAATCATAAGCAAATTGAATTTTTCAACTACCTTTTCTAGATCTATTGAATTAAGCATAATTTTTATTTTTTTGTATTTAAAACAATAAAACTTTTATTTTTGCTTAAAATGTGCAGCTTCTACCAATTGTCAAAATATAATCTCAGTTAAGAATACTCACCTCATTTTTTTTTTATCTCAGACTTGAAATAAGTTAGAAGAAAACAGAGTAAACAGCACATGATTTTCTTTTAATAGCACCTTGAAAAAGTACAGTGCACTAGCAAGGGCATTAAGAGGCGGGGAAATGCCTTCAGACCCAATGGTTATAGGGCACCGCAATGTATGTGAGAGCATAAGGAAATGTGGTGACACCATTGTCTTGGGTTAATGTTAATGCTTTATGAGAAGGAACTTGGTTAAAATAATTTCCTTAGAGGGCAGTTCAGGACCTTCATCAGCTTCCTGGTCTTTTTGCTCTGAAGCCTTCATTTTCTCATTCTTAGCTTCTTTAGCCTGAAACTTAATTTTGTTTAGTTCAGGATCATGTTGGGACTTATTCAGGTTTTTGTGCTGGTAAAAGACAAGGGAGAGGTGAATTGATTGACTAGGCTTTAGATGCTCACAGGAGTCATAGTGTGAAGCTCTCACAGGGCACACTGAATCAAAACTGAGCTGTGCCATGACCACCCGACCAATATATGCAGCCAAAAATATGTGCTCACTGTCTGACCAATACTCACCTAGGTGGGACAATTTCTTTTCAGCAGGTGACAGGCAGTCATCAGATAGCAACTAGTTTGATAGAGGCTCATTTGCTTCAGAATGCTGCTCATCATCTTCCATCAAAGAGGCGAGGTCTTGAGAAGAGTTGAGGAAGGGGTGCTGCTGGCTTGGCTGATGAGAAGTTAGTGGTTCAGTTAGACCAGTGGGAGGCTGAGAAGAAACCAAGGGCTCTGTCACAGGGGGAGACAGAGTGGGGGGAGAAGCCACTTCGCCAGGCTGTGCAATTCTAGAGCATTCCGCAGCAGCTGCATTGGCACCACTGAGTCTTCCAGAAGGCATCGTGCAGTGAGCAGTGGGGAATGCTACTTCTTTCTGAAAACCTGTAGGGGACTGTTGCATCCTTCTTCAATAGAGCTGGGTGGCTGAAGCAGTCTTCGGGGACCAGGAGAAGCCTGGAGATGGAATGGCCTCTTTCACTGGGTGACAAATGGATGGAATCAGAGAATAGGTTTTAGTGTTGTGGCCTCACAAATCTTTTAAGATAAAATAGGGTTCCTTTACTTTAGGTTGCACTGTCTCTGTTTTAATTGCGAAGATTGGCAGCAGTAAAGCCTTACTGAGGTTTATTGTTGCTGAGTTATTCCTCCACTTGATTTGGGGAATGGGTTTTTTCTCCACTGCCCTTATCTTACATGCAAGAACCTCCATCATCATCACAGCCCTCTTCTTCTCAGAACTTGGGAACAGGCTGAATGAAACATGTTCTTCTTTTTTTTTTTTTTCTTTGCATCAAGGTGCCAGGACCTCAATGGTCCCAGATTTGATCTTGGCTTCCATTCCCTCCCTTCAGCCAAACTCATCTGTGTCTGAAAGTGTATAAAGAAGTAGCACATGGAGCTGCTTATCTTGAGGAATAACACCCAAAGAGCAGTTATCTTCTTGAATTAAAGTACAAACCACAGTGCTTCCATTATTCATGTTGTGAATGTCTCTGTGGGGTTGGGCAGAGAAGTCCAGGCAAGCTATGATGCCAGAGAAGGAAAAACTATTCTTGCTGCCAAGCTAACATTCTCGTGCAACATTTTCATGTTCCACCTGATTTTGGTAAGCTAATGGAGCATGTTGCTTATATATTGGAACTAATTGTGTAGCCAAATTCTTTAAGTTATCTTCAAGGTTTTTTTCCATGGCCTCATGTTCCACACAAATTTGTTCCAGTTTTATATATTGTCTTTCTGGATTATGTCCTTTAGTAATTCTTTCATAGTAGGTATGTAAGAGAGAGCTTGAATCAATTCTAAATCTTCTGGAGCTTGGGCCGCTACCAAACTTACAGCCATTAAAGTACATACTCCATGAACAGCCAAAGGAGAATGAAGTGCCACATGTCTCTGGATCAATTCCTTAACATGTACAGGTACGATTTTAATGGAGGGTGCATCTTCGGTTGGTGGGATGCATACTGTATGACCTTAGATTCTTGGTGAGCTCTGTGTACAGCCAGTCAGCCACTGAGAAGCGATTGCCATCCCACACCATGATGAGCATCACTATCACAGCAGTTGGACAGTGGTGGCCTGTACACTGCTAGACCAGAGAGCTTTTTCTGTATCACTGCTTCTTGTTAAAACCCACTTAATGATTGGACACCTATTAGAGCTTTTCCCTTCATTACCAGTGTACACTACTGTTTCTATCCTTATTATGTTTCCTTTTTCACAATACATATTCACCATGATTTCCCTGACAGCAGCAACACCTGGTCCTGCCTCAGGTGTATATAATATGAGCCTTTGATTTTTCGTGTAACTCGATCAAGACAGTTGCAGGTGGGCAGTTCAGAATCTTTAGTTATAGACATCAGGTGTTTTGTAGGGATAGTAAAGAAATTCATGGCATATTCACCAGAATTTCTCTGTGCATGCTTTGCTGTGGAAAACTGATGTTTCAACAGTGGGTGAACCTACTTCCTCTTCACTTTTGGTAGAAACCATTGTAATTCCACCTGAACATGCAATATTTACACTCCTAAGAGTTGGTGCTGACTTCAGTAAGGATGTCTCATGAGAGATATAAGGTAATGTTGTCAGTCTCTGGTACATGAGATGCTCTTTAACAGCAAGCATGGGCTTCTTTTTCCAACAATCTCCTGATGAGGTAGATTTTGTCTTTTTCTGGGTTGTGTTCTTTTACTTTGTTAATGATGAACTATGATTATTTTGGACACTTGAAGGTGGTTTCTATTGTATTACACCCTTCTCCTGATTGTATTTTTGCTGTACATTACATGCAACAAGGCTTGTCAGTGTACTTTCAACATTTTTGTCCTCTGGTTTTATATAATTGAAATTAATTATTGAAGCAAGTTATGTCAACTGTATTGCAACATGTTCTTCAATTTGAGTATGAGCTGCATCTTGACCTGATAGGCCATCTATACCAATTTTTCTTTTTTGCTACTGTCCAGTAACTGGTTACAATATCCCAACTTGTTATTTTTTAGGGGCAACTGATGGAAATTCTTGCAACAACTGTCAAGAGTAATTCTACCTTGAGTAATACTTTCATTGGTATCACTCTTGGATGAATTTAATTCTGGCTTAAAAAGAGATAACTAGCTGTTCTCTGCTCTGATTCTTCATCATTCTCTGACTTTGATGGGGAAGAATTCTCTGGTGGGGCTTCTGAGAGCTGAGTCAAGACCTCTATGGCTGCCACTTCCTCCAGTGTTAATCTCTTACCTTTCATTAAGGATAAGAGACTTGGTTGAGATCCATCTTTTGGTTCTTTACTTGGTATAACCTCAGGAGTTTGTGGTTTATCAACTTCATTGTGTGTACTACCATGACAGTGTATGTTGGAGTGTGAAGAATGTGGAATGGAATTGCAGTTAAAGCCAGACTGCTGGAAGACTAAAACATTACTTCTCCTTTGAGATGATAACAACTTGCATTAGTAGCAACAGAGCTCATGGCAGGTGTCTTTTAGGAATTTATAAGATTGTTTTTAAATGTCTTGCCAAATTCTTCAATATTAAATTTTTTAAATGACACATTTGTTTCCATTGATAAATAGTGTACATGTTTAGTGCCATTTCTTACAGTTTGTACAAACAATTTTGGAGGTTTGTCTCTTGTCAACTTCAGAGTTTTTCGATTTTTCAGCTTCTGGGACATTAGCACTGAAATCTCCTTTGACATGATCAGTTAAATGTAATTTCTTGTTTTACATCTTCTCCACCTCAATGGCTGTCATGCATTCTTCAAGTTTAGTTATAATTTCAAGGGGATGTGGATTCAATTCCAATCCTTGTTCTTCCCCATCTATTGTAGTCCATGGATTCTGACTTGGGGACATTTACTGATTTGTTGTCAAAATCTGCCTTTAAAACTTTGAGTTTCTTTTCCCTCTGGGGTCTCTTGATTTCCTTTATAACCTCCAAAGGCACAATGACAGATGATGTCTTTTTCAGCTCCTAACATTTCCTCTTCTTAAGATCTGATGGCTGTTCTTTCTCTTCTTGCAACTAGTGCATTCACCAAAGTTGCACTTCTGCTGGTAGGGTTCACAGACCTCATATTGCTTTCATTTCCTTTTTTTTTCAAAGTGGGTGATAAAGTGGTTTAAGAAGGAGAAGAGGAGATACTGACCAGTCAAGCTGGCATAGTCACCACTGTGGTGTTGACAACATGAACTGTGCTGGTTATGCTGACCTGGGAGCTCCCTCTTTCTGATTCGCTGGGACCTGCCTGGGAGAGTTGGGCAATACCCAGTGAAGCATGGAAGAGTCTTCTCTCAGGGGCTATTAGGAAACCCCGAGTGTTATCTGGCAGAAAGCTTATATGAACTTGCTTTTCATTTTCTACATTGCTTATAGCCATTGCTGGAGGTAATGAATTTTTCTCTGGGGTTGATGATGATTGAGGAGTGTGTCCTGAGTCCAAAGGCAAAATGTATATAGCACTCTGGACCACAAACCCATATGAGACAGTGCCATAGGGCTCAGGCCATTTGGGAGGAGCCTGATAGGTAGCACTTAGATTTGGAGGAACAGGAAGGAAGAGAGGCAAGTACGGGGCAATGCCCCCACTCATACCAAGGGTTTGTTGTTGGTCTAAGATAGTACCAAAGAGCTCTTCTTGGACTGGAATAGCACCAGGAACCTTTGTTGGATCTGGGGTCTTACCCAGGGCCTTGGCATGAAGTTGCCACTGATGTGGGATAGCACTGAAGATCTGTCCTAGGACAGAGGTGGTATTAGCAACTTCCTGTTGATTTGTAGTAGCTTTGAGGGCCTCTTGATGATCTGGTTTAGCACCAAGGGTTGCTTGTTCTTAGCCTGCCAAAAGGAATTTTCTTAGACATGTAGAAGATGTAGATCTACCAAGAGCCATCCAGTTTCTAAGGTTCAGTACAGGTATAACCTTATTAAAACTGGAGGTGGGATAGCAATCATATTCACTTTTAATGGGATCTGTGTAAGAATCAGATAACTTAAGGGATTCTACTCATTAACCCAACTCTTCTAATTGAATTCTGGGGTTTCCTTGAGAGATAACTTTGGCAGTTGTTCTTTGTGGCAAAGGAGCACACACAATGCCCTTAGCAAACAGTCTTGGGGAACCACTAGTATCATTCAATGTTTCTTCAGAGAATAGTCCTTTACCACAGCATGTCCTTTCCAATGGACAAGAAAGAATCTCAGCTGCAGGGCCACTGAGGGTAGGGATATTGATTTGAGAATGTTTAACCCTTTTGTACCAGGACTGAGTTGTCTCTTGGCTCTTACTTTTGATTAAAGAGGGATTTTGTACACCAGATAGAGCCTCTATATTAAGAAGAATGTGGTGTCTTGCATTGGGACTGAATCATTTTTTGAGCTCTTTCCTCCCAAGTCAGTGAGTATCTTATAATTATCATCATGTAGCTTTTCTAAACCCTTAGAAGGTGGAACTTTCTTGAAATTGGCTATGACCAGTGGGGTTTGGGAGAGTCGCCTGCTAAGAAAGGTTCTTCTTAGAGCCACTGTGAGCCCACTGCAGGTTAAGAACCCTGGGTTCTGAAAAGAAACCTCAGTCCTATCCAAATTCATGTGTGCTGTTCCAGCTCTTGTCAGAAAGCTTCTGACTGGCATGGATGGTTTAGGTTCTGGTTTTTTTCTTAGCATCTCTTTCTTGAATTAATTGCTTTAATTTTCCAGGGCTTAAAGCCTTGACTGGTGCCACATTTTTGTTGGCTGTCTTGGATGTCTTCTGTAGTTTGCTGTTTCTCTTTTTGTTTGCATCTTTCTTCCTGACTAATCTGGAAGCCTTGTGTGGCAGGACCCAGACATAGCTGCAGGGTAGAAAAAAAGTAAGAGGCACAGGAAACAGTCCTTTGTCCTTTAGAAAGTCTCACTTTAGAGGATAATCTGGATGCAGTGTTCTTAATCTCATTCACACAAGGTTTTGGTGCTTACCAGTGCATTATGAGGGACACAGATGATCACCCAAAGAGGACATACTAAGGGCATGGTTGTGGAGGGAGGTGTCACAGAGTTCCCATGCCCTGTCTGGGCACACTACCCTCACAGCAGCTCCAAGTGTTCAGCAAGTCCAAAACTCATGAAATCTCCTAGCTCAAAAGTTTTTATAGAAAATGATCTCCAACATGACCATCCTGACTCTGCTCCCACTGCCACCCTCTGCCTTTCCTGGAAGCTGGATCACTTTTTTGTTGTTTTTATATTGTGTAATATGTTGATAGATATTATTTTATTTATTTTTTATTTTTGTTATTTTTTAATTTTATTATTATTATACTTTAAGTTTTAGGGTACATGTGCACAATGTGCAGGTTAGTTACATATGTATACATGTGCCATGCTGGTGTGCTGCACCCATTAGCTCCTCATTTAGCATTAGGTACATCTCCTAATGCCATCCCTCCCCCCTCCCCCCACCCCACAACAGTCCCCAGAGTGTGACGTTCCCCTTCTTGTGTCCATGTGTTCTCATTGTTCAATTCGCACCTATGAGTGAGAACATGCAGTGTTTGATTTTTTGTCCTTGCGATAGTTTACTGAGAATGATGATTTCCAGTTTCATCCATGTCCCTACAAAGGACATGAACTCATCATTTTTTATGGCTGCATAGTATTCCATGGTGTATATGTGCCACATTTTCTTAATCCAGTCTATTATTGTTGGACATTTAGGTTGGTTCCAAGTCTTTGCTATTGTGAACAGTGCTGCAATAAACATACGTGTGCATGTGTCTTTATAGCAACATGATTTATAGTCCTTTGGGTATATACCCAGTAATGGGATGGGTGAGTCAAATGGTATTTCTAGTTCTAGATCCCTGAGGAATCACCACACTGACTTCCACAATGGTTGAACTAGTTTACAGTCCCACCAACAATGTAAAAGTGTTCCTATTTCTCCACATCCTCTCCAGCACCTGTTGTTTCCTGACTTTTTAGTGATTGTCATTCTGACTGGTGTGAGATGGTATCTCATTGTGGTTTTGATTTGCATTTCTCTGATGGCCAGTGATGGTGAGCATTTTTTCATGTGTTTTTTGGCTGCATAAATGTCTTCTTTTGAGAAGTGTCTGTTCATGTCCTCGCCCACTTTTTGATGGGGTTGTTTGGTTTTTTCTTGGAAATTTGTTTGAGTTCATTGTATATTCTGCATATTAGCCCTTTGTCAGATGAGTAGGTTGCGAAAATTTTCTCCCATGTTGTAGGTTGCCTGTTCACTCTGATGGTAGTTTCTTTTGCTGTGCAGAAGCTCTTTAGTTTAATTAGATCCCATTTGTCAATTTTGGCTTTTGTTGCCATTGCTTTTGGTGTTTTAGACATGAAGTCCTTGCCCATGACTATGTCCTGAATGGTAATGCCTAGGTTTTCTTCTAGGGTTTTTATGGTTTTAGGTCTAATGTTTAAGTCTTTAATCCATCTTGAATTAATTTTTGTATAAGGTGTAAGGAAGGGATCCAGTTTCAGCTTTCTACATATGGCTAGCTAGTTTTCCTAGCACCTTTTATTAAATAGGGAATCCTTTTCCCATTGCTTGTTTTTCTCAGGTTTGTCAAAGATCAGATAGTTGTAGATATGCGGCGTTATTTCTGAGGGCTCTGTTCTGTTCCATTGATCTATATCTCTGTTTTGGTCAATAAATGTAATCCAGCATATAAACAGAACCAAAGACAAAAGCCACATGATTATCTCAATAGATGCAGAAAAGGCCTTTGACAAAATTCAACAACCCTTCATGCTAAAAACTCTCAATAAATTAGGTATTGATAGGACATATCTCAAAATAATAAGAGCTATCTATGACAAACCCACAGCCAATATCGTACTGAATGGGCAAAAACTGGAAGCATTCCCTTTGAAAACTGGCACAAGACAGGGATGCCCTCTCTCACCACTCCTATTCAACATAGTGTTGGAAGTTCTGGCCAGGGCAATTAGGCAGGAGAAGGAAATAAAGGGTATTCAATTAGGAAAAGAGGAAGTCAAATTGTCCCTGTTTGCAGATGATATGATTGTATATCTAGAAAACTCCATTGTCTCAGCCCAAAATCTCCTTAAGCTGATAAGAAACTTCAGCAAAGTCTCAGGATACAAAATCAATGTACAAAAATCACAAGCATTCTTGTACACCAATAACAGCCAAACAGAGAGCCAAATCCATTCACAATTGGAACTCCCATTCACAATTGAACTCCCATTCACAATTGCTTCAAAGTGAATAAAATACCTAGAAATCCAACTTACAAGGGACGTGAAGGACGTCTTCAAGGAGTACTACAAACCACTGCTCAATGAAATAAAAGAGGATGCAAAGAAATGGAAGAACATTCCATGCTCATGGGTAGGAAGAATCAATATCATGAAAATGGCCATACTGCCCAAGGTAATTTATGGATTCAGTGCCATCCCCATCAAGCTACCAATGACTTTCTTCACAGAATTGGAAAAAAACTACTTTAAAGTTCATATGGAACGAAAAAAGAGCCTGCATCGCCAGGTCAATCCTAAGCCAAAAGAACAAACCTGGAGGCATCACGCTATATGTTGATAGATTTTAAAATGCTAAAATAACCTTGTAATTGTGGGATAAATGAAAATTATTTGTGAATCACATTCCTTTTTATATAACACTAAATTTGCTGTGGTAATATTTTAAGTTTTTGTACCTATTTTCATGAGAAACATTGATCTTTGATTTTTATTTTGTATAATGTCTTGGCCAGATATTATGCTGGCCTTGCAAACTATGTTGTGAAATGTTTCCACTTTACTATTATTTAAAAGACTTTTGCTAAGATAGATCCTATTTCTTCCTTTAATATTTGGTAGAATTTCTCAGTGAGTTTGGATATGAGCCTGAAGTTTTCTTTGCTGGAAATTTTAAATATGATTTATTTATGCAATGATTGTAAATGTTTTCAATTCTCTGTTTCTTCCTAGTTCACTTTTGGCAAGTAGAGACATAAAACATATAGACTTTCTAAATTACTAGGATGATTTTAAAACTAGTATCCTTATCATCTTTTTACTGATGCCACATTTTTGTCTGTGAGTGTTGCAAGGATGCTCTTTTTGTATTGATACTGCATTTTAGTGCCTTCTCTCTTCCTTATGTGCTTGACATTGTCCAGGGTTCATATACTGTGTTAATTTCTTCATACAATCAACTGTTGGCTTTGCTAATTTTTGCTATTTGTTTTCTATTTCACATTTTTTCCACTTTTTAAAAAGTAATATTCTATATTTTGTACAATATTCTCTTTTTCTAAATTCTAAATTTCTATAATGAATATGTAGATGATTAATTTGATGGCTTTTTTATTTTCTAAATTTGTCTTGAAAGTTGTGTTTTCAATCTAAACCACAGTGAGATACCATCTCACACCAGTCAGAATGGCTATTATTAAGGAGTCAAAAAACAACAGATGCTGGTGAGATTGTGGAGAAAAAGGAACACTTTTGTGCTGTTGGTAGGAATGTAAATTAGTTCAACCATTGTGGAAAGCAGTGTGGTGATTCCTCAAGGAGCTAAAATCAGATCTACCATTCAACCCAACAATCCCATTTCTGGGTATATACCCAAAAGAATATAAATCATCCTGTCAAAAAGACACACACGTGTATGTTTGCTGCAGCACTGTTCACAATAGCAAAGACATGGAATCAACCCAAATGCCCATCAATGATGGATTAAATAAAGAAAATGTGGTGCATATACACCATGGAATATTATGCAGCCATGAAAAAGAATGAGATCATGTCCTTTGCAGGAATTTGGATGGAGCTAGAAGCCATTAACCTTAGCAAACTAACACAGGAACAGGAAACCAAATACTGCATGTTCTCACTTACAAGTGGGAGCTAAACAATGAGAACACATAGTCACATAGAGGGCAACAACAGACACTGGGACCTACCTGAAAGTGGAGAGTAGAAGGAGGGAGAGGATCAGGAAAAATAACTTATAAGTACTAGGCTTAATAATCAGATGATAACATAATCTTTACAACAAACCTCCATGACACGAGTTTACCTATAGAACAAACCTGCACGTGTACCCTTGAACTTACAAGCTAAAAGAAGAGAAAGTTATGCTTTCCTTCTAAGCACAGTTTAGCTGTATATTGCAAATTTAAATATTCAGTATTTTCATTGTTATTTCAATTAGAAGTACATTTCTTAATTTCCAGACATTTGGATAATTTCTAATTATCTTCTTATATTTGACTCGAATTTAATTTCACATAAAAATAAAGTACCATTTAGCTTTTTGGAAATTTGGTGAGACCTATTTTAAAGTTCAACATTTAAATCAAGTTAGATCTGGACTCAGATTTTACCACCAGCGTTTGTGCGTGATCTTAATCCAATTTTAATTTATCACTCATTTTTCCAATTTAGAAAGCACATATAACATAATATGCAAAATTGCTAAGAAATTAACAAATAAAATGTCAGTTTTCAGACACATAATAGTTTCTCAATAAATTGAAGCTTTTTAAAAATTCCTTTCTTTACTGACTTAATTTAGATTTCCATTGCTCTATAATTCTATCTTGATCATCCTCTTGGGCTCCAGATTTCCCTCGAGTTTTGCAAGGCTTACCTATCATCGTTCTCTTCAGTTAATTGCTCTGGAGGCTTTTCTTAATCAGCAAAGCTAAAGTAGCCATTTGTATACAATGATTATCCTTTTACTTAGTCTTTATTTATATTTGTCATATCACTTAACCTTCTATGAAATTATCTTTGTTTGTAAATGTTCTTATTTCTATTTCTCTCTATGCAATATGAGTCTTATATAGCTTTTCATTTAAACCTAGTGTCTAGAACAGATCATGGCATAGAGTGCATTCAATATATAGGTAGGTTGAATGCATTAAATTCTGATTTAAAACTACAACTAAAGAGCATAAAAGGATCGAAAGAATGTGAAGTTTTCTAATTCTATATAAAATTCTTTAACAGCTCAATTATGTCTTCATGCCAGTCTGAAAACTTGTCTTATGTTTTTTATAAAAAGGTCTTCTCCTTGAGATGAGAACCCATTTATTAGGCATTTTGATTCATTTAGGACCTATAAATAAATAAATTTAGGACCTAAAATAAATAAATTAATAAGCAACTCTACCCTATTAACTACAAAAAAATGTCTGACAACAGCAAAACAGTTAAGAAATATCTTGAAACTGTTAGAGCTATGTTTGTGCAGGGATAAATCTAGAAAAGCAATCAACCGTAGTAGATATGAGTTTATGCTTTGGAGTTAAAGGCAATTCCAGCTGGGCCTCTGCAACGGAGGCACTTTATGCCCAACTCACATGCCTGGGAACTTGCTGTCTGCTTCGGTTTGCATCCAGCTGTCAGGGTCTGCATGTGTATATCTGATGGCTCTTTTTGCCCACTCTTCTTCATGTATGAAAGGTAATACTCCCCACATGTGATTGGCCCAGGAATTAAAATTCACAAAAGATTACCTCAACTATTGACTTGGTCATTGCTCTAAAATTAATTCAACGTCCTTGTCTCCCAGCTGTGATAATTCCTAGGTGTGGCATTCACAATTCTCAGATTTTCCCCATGATATTAAACTTCAGTGGCCCACAGAGTTAGACGTCTTATAGTGAATGCTTTACTGACTGAATTTGCTTTTCTCTGTCACTTTCTTACTCTACTACTAAGATTACCTGCATTTCTTAAGTAAATTGCTTGTGCTGAAACTTTAATTTTAGGCCCTTCCACTTACAAACTGTAATTTTGGATAAAGAAATTATCTCATATTGCCCTTGTTTGCTCATCCGTAATATGTATGTACAAATTCACCCATATTACCATTTTGCTGTAAGGTGTAAATGAGTTAAGATGTATAAAACACTTAGGAGAGAGCCTGGCATATATTAAGTATTCAATAAATGTTATTAGTCTTTTTATTGTCTGACTTGACTTTGACTAGTGCCAAGTGCTTTGTACAGGTTCTCTATGAAATTTTTACAGCCACCTTATACTGATACTTAAAGAGGTAAAGTAACTTGCCTGGAGTTACAGAGAGGACTTGAAAATGAGAGCAGAGCCCATGTGACCTCAGATCGAGTACAAATTCTTAAACAATTTCATTGTTACTTTAAATTTTATCTTTAAGTTTGATAAAGTATTTGGTTGACAATAGATATCTGATGAGTAGACATGTAAAGAAAGTACATATCTCATTAAGTTTATAAAAATTAGTGTTTAAACTTTAGTATGCATAAAATTCACTTGGGTGGACTTTCAAAATCAAATTTGTAGTCCCTTTGATTTTATTTATTTATTTTTAGAGACAGTGTCATGTTCTGTTGTTGTAGTATAGAGTGCAATCCTACCTCACTGCAACCTCAAGTTCCCGTGCTCAAGCGATCCTCCTGTGTCAGCCTCTTGAGTAGCTAGGACTACAAGTGCACACCACCACTCCTGACTAATTTTATTTTATTTTATGGTAGAGATGGGGTCTCACTATACTGCCCAGCCTGGTGTTGAGCTCCTGACCTCAAGTGATCCTCCCACCTTGGACTCTCAAAGCCTGAGGATTACAGGTGTGAGCCACTGGGCCCTGCCCCTTTGATTTTAAAACCAAATTTTACACTTACAGCTCAACTGCGATTCAACTGGTATGAGATGATATTCCCGTTTTTACAAGCACTTTGATTCTTAATCTAGTGCTACACAAAACACATTAGGGAATGCACTGATAATAAAAACATAGATATTTTCAGATCCTGATCCTGGGGTTACATTAAAGGTCTAAAAAACCATTAAAAATTTGTCTCTTGGAACAGATTTTGTATAATGAGGCCACATTAGAATGAGACGTTAAGACAGTTTTTAAGCTGTTTTTTTTCTTTTTTTTTTTTTAATACACTGGGATCAAGTGGATCTTTTGCAAAAGAAAGGTTGGTTTTACTCACATTGGATCACTATGCCCTATAGTTTTCTTCCCCCCAAAAATTACAAAATAAAATCACTTTTTAAGATTTTTCTTACAGTTACCACATAGAATCAGTGGGAGGTCCAGTCACTGCACTTCAAGAATAGGAAGAAATAGCATTGACAGTATGAGATGTTTGGACTTTGTGTATTCTGTTCTGTGTACAATTCCAAAATCAAAGTGTAGTCATAATTTTTAGACTTCTTTGAAATGCATACTTGTTGCCTCTGTTCCAGAGTTTTCTAGCAAAAGAATGTTTATTAGAAGATGTTTCAACTCTCAGATTCTTTGATCATCCTTCCTAGCTGGGAAGTGTCTCTGGATTTTCTGGTAGAGTCACCCACTTGCTTCCTTTCGCTGGTAAATAAATGAGAAGCTGCAAGAACTTCTGTTTCCCTTCTATATCCATAGGGAATTTGTTTCTCTTAAATGAAAACAGCAAATGGCTACATGATTCAAATTGTAACTTTGTACCAAGCCATCATTTCAAAATCCTCAACACTAAAAAAATGTATAATGCAAGAAAACATGAAAAGCAATTAATGTAGTGAGGCTATTTTGTGTTTTTCCACCAAATCAACAAATAAATTTTAAGCCCATTCCTGTTCTTTTTTTTCCACTTTCTCTTGCAGTTGGCAGCTAGAGTGTTTAAGTCAAACAATAACTGGATTATGAATGTCTGCCAATTGCTTTCATTTTTTTGCTAACAAACACAATTTTTAGATTCCTGGCTGAGTCAATAAGTTCCTATACTGAATGGAAAAATTAACCCATGCAGATTAAACTGAAAAACAACAACACAGTTTGGTAGTACTAGGAGATTTCTGAATTATTTTGTACTTTCATGTAAGGGAGTGAGACTTATCATTGAAAAATACTGAACATTAGAAATGTGTGTCTTAGTCCTTTTTGGCTGCTATATCAAAATACTATGCACTGGGTGGCTTATAAACACAGAGATTTATTTCTCACAGTTCAGGAGGTTGGAAAGTCTAAGGTCAAGGTACTGGCAAATTCAGTGTCAGGTGAGAGCCCACTCTCTGATTTATAAGTGCTACCTTCTAGCTGTGCCCTTATATAGTTAAAGGGACTAACTTGCTCTCTTTTATAAAGGCACTAATCCCTTTGTGAGGACTCTGCTTTTGTGAACCAATCGTCTGCCAAAGACTCCACCCCCCAATGCCATCACCTGTGGAGTTACAATTTTAACATGAATTTGTGGGGTACAGATATTTACATCACAGCACTATGTAGTCAATATACATTGCATTTATTATTTATTAATTTATTAATAATCATGTATTAGTTTTTGCATATCTTCCTATTCGCATTTGCTGATAATCTGTATTTTGACAAAAAATTATTTGCAGAACAGAGTACAGTAACCTGACGTTTTTCCCCTTCTTGCTTGTGTACACAGTAAATTTACTAAAAAAAAAAATAAGTTAATGAATAATATTTAGGCCATCTGCTACTTTCTGAATCACATTAAACTCAACTTTTACTCTAATGCTGGCATAAGGAACAAGGAATTGTGAGATAATTTTATAATTAGGTTCATTTTGCATTGTCAGTAACTAAACTTTTACTAACAGTACAATAAAGAATTATCTTAAGCAGAATTGTTTTCTATAGAAAAAAATGTCATAGGCAATCTTTACTATTATTTTTATGACCAACACAGATTTTTATGTGCACTTATAATTCAATTCCATTAATTAAACTCTGTATAAAAATGATAAGAACATCTTATAGACAAAAGAGCACTGACCCACTTTTTGGAACAATAGTTTCTCAAATGTCCCTGTAGATTTCATGAAGTTTACTCAGAACTGGATAATGATAAAAATGCAGGATGAAAAGAACTTAAAGATAGTACTATTGGGATTTGAGATAAAAGAACTAATTTAAACTGACAACGTAGTGAGCATTTTACCATGGGCATGATGATGACAACTAGATCTGATTTTTTTGTTTGTTGCAATTCCAAATTGCTATTCATTAATATTTGATTGAATAGAGAGATGGAATGAGAGTAAATGGTATAAGAAAGATAAATATCAAATATTGACAGTGTTTACAATGGGAAAGGCATTGTCCTTAATACTAGGAGGAATAGAAAGATAAATGATCTTGGATAGCTAATTCAAAGAGCTCTTTCCAATCAGAGTTTCCTATTATAACCTGAAACTGGGCCATTAGGAATATAAGGAGGCACAGGAATATAAGGAGGCACACATATTTTTACTGGTATCCTATAACTGGGGTATTAACTGTGTGCTCTTTAATAAGTAATTGTCTTCACTTAGTCTGAAAGCAAGGTCCAAATCTAGAATTCTAAATAGCAATATACACAGTTATGCCAATTGACACGTGTTGACACGGAAATAAATATTCTTAATCATCTCTAGAAGAAAGAACACCAGATTTTCTCATGTTTTCTAGCCATATATAACTTGAAGAAATATGGGCAAGAGACTCTTATGTTATATATATATATAAAACTTATATATAAAAAACATATATATATAACATACGTATATATAACATATATATAACATACATATATATAATATATATAACATATATAACATATAACATATATAACATATATATAAAATATATATATATTTTATTGACTGGAACCCTGAACAGTTTTTGAGTATTTAGCTACGGTGCCACAAATTCCTCCAGCAATTTAATGATAAGCAAAGCAATGAAATACACAGGTTTTGATGTGTCAGACTCTTGGTACTGCTAACATGTGGATAAAAGTGACATCATTTTCACCTTAGAGAAAAATATGTAGGTTTTTGTTAGAGGGAAAAAAAAGATCTCCTTTTGCATATTTTAAAAGGAATATTTTCTTCTCTTTTTTCTTTTTCTTCTTACTACTCCTCACCCCTCTCTTCTTACTTATTCACATATTTATCAGAATTTCCTTTAGTACCACAATTTACATGAAATACACCTAGTAGTTCATCTACAATACTTTTCTACTATTTTGAATCCTGTTCTAAATTTGGAGATAATAAGAATTGTAGGATAGTAACTTGATCCTTTGTATAAGAAATGAGTTTTACAGACAAAAAAACACTTAAAGGTAAACGAAAAATTACCATTATGATATTTGGTGCAATGAAAACATCCTTTCTCTGATCCAAATATAGATAAACATAAAGGGTATGTGTTAGGAATTTACAGACATTAATAATGATAATGCTAAGCAAAAGCAATCACGATGGACTTCATAAAGAGGAAAGCAATAACCTTAAGTTGAGGGTCTACAGAGGGCTGAATAGAAAGTAAGAACCTATGGAAAGTAAGAACCAATGCTTTAATGCCTGCTTTGGATTGAGAGCTCAACATATCCTGTAAATAAAACCAGGATCTGTACATTAAGCTGGGTGGGTATTGATTTCTGAAACTGTGGGTTAGGACCAAGTAGCTACTCCCACTGTTCCTGTTCCAAGCTTACATCTGGAAAGATTTTAGATTTTACTCATTAGTGAAAGAAGTAGAAATGGGGGTAAACACAGAACATCTGCCTGACAAGAAACTGCATTTTTCACCTTATAAGCAGTATTACATCTGTGTGCAGCTGAAGAGACCCAAAGGAGTGAAGTCACAGATACGAAACGGAGAGCTTATGCAACCCATAGAGCTGGTCTGTTCGGGAAAAAGCATCAAAATGAGTTCACAAAATATTTTCAGATGCAAGAAGAAGCCCAGTGCCATGCTTGAGTTAAGGTTGATATGATTAGCAACAGGTTCAACAAATGAACAAATTTATGCTTGATTAAATTAGATTAGTTGTGCATCCTGAAAAAAATTATGTAAAAGTTTCTTTTAAATATCCATAGTTTAAGCAGGGCAGAAAGGTAATATAGATGAAATAAGTACAGACATACAGAAAACATGACCATTTAAAAAAATAAAACTATAGTCATTGGAAAAATTATAGGAACTCTTAAAACTGCCCACAGTTGAAGTTAGAACTTGCAAAGTAGACAATATAATTGAAGAAATGTTTCAAAATGAATCACGTAAGGTAAAGACATCAAAAGAATGAACTAGTTGCAAGATGTAAGAGATCATCAGGAGCTTACAAAGCAAAGCAGCATCAAGGAGATCACAAAACAGTGAACAGTGACTCACTGAGCAGGTGAAGTGTCAGAAAACAATTTGGATTTAGAGAAAGATATAAATCCTCATATCTGAAAACTGGATGTATACTGAGAAAGATGCATTTTTAAGCTTGTACACACTGAGTCCAGGAAAAAGAGAGGGCAAAGGGGAAAGACATTAGAGTGAAGAGTGAGACCAGCCACAACAGAATGGCAATGAGATTAGCTTAGTTTTCTTATCTGAGCAAAATACACGGAAGTAATGTCTTTAATATTCTAAGCCAAAATAGTCAAACCAATAATTCTATGATGTTATATTTTTCTTCATAAGTGAGACTGAAATAAAAACATTTTAGTCTTACATTGCAAAAAACTTTTACTGCTCATAGATCCACTATTATTAAAGTTCATAAACCAATATAAACAATAGATGGACTAAGATTGGGAAAGAAAGACAGGTGCAAAAATCAAGAATAGGCACAGAAATTATTCCAACAGTTATATGATCTAGGTAATAATTATGAGATTGTAACAAAATATTTAAAAATATTATGTTAACAAAATACTAAAGCTCGAAACAGAAGTTGAGGAATTGTGATTCAGCAGGAAGTTAAAGTTGTTAGAAAATCTAAAGATAATACATATATTAATAATAAAATGGCAATCATTAAAAAAGTAAATTTAGAATAGATACTTTTCCAAAAGGTTGTGAAATAATAGAAATAAAAACACCAGATAAATCTATCAAAATCGGAAAAGAAGAACAAAAGTAGAGAAAATATAAAACCAAAAAGATAAATCTGTATTCCTCAGTTATCAAATTAATAGAAATAAACTACTATACACTGCAATTTAAAATCAGAGATTCTCAGATTGAGTTTTTTTTTAAATTCAGGTAGATGTTCTTTATAATTAATTACTGAGTTAGCCAATATAATAACTTGGTTAAAACTGAAAGTTGGCACTGAAAACTACCTGTTGGAATATTGTTAGACTGGTGAGCTATATGAGAAGACAGGAATTGTCAAACTTTGCCTTGGGTCTCCTACATAACTTTCAGGGGCCTACTTTCTGGTCCTGTGTTTATTCCATATTTTGAAGTCAATGATTGTCAGGTTGTTGTTCATATGGCTACTTTCTCGCCTCTGTTTGGTAGAAAAAAACAAGACACTGCAAATGACTGTTCACTATGATGGCCTCTCTTTGTTAGGAGATGTCTATGTTAAATCTGTAGTTTCCTTTTAGAATTACTTTACTCATATAAAAATTATAAATTTGTGCCATATTTTATTTTATTTTATTATTATTTTTGAAATGGAGTCTCACTTTGCCAGGCTGGAGTGCAGTGGCACGATCTCAGCTCACTGCAACATCTGCCTCCCTGGTTCAAGCCGTTCTCCTGCATCAGCCTCCCAAGTTTCTGGGATTACAGGCCCATGCCACCACACACAGCTAATTTTTGTATTTTTAGTAGAGATGGGGTTTCACCATGTTGGCCAGGCTGGTCTCGAACTCCTGGCCTCAGGTGATCTGCTTACCTCAGCTTCCCAAAGTGCTGGGATTACAGGCATGAGCCATAGCATCTGGCCCAATTTTTACAAATGATGAAATTTTTATTTTAAATAAGAATGGTCATTTTAGGAAATTATTTTACATGTCAAAAGCCAACAATTAGTGTATTTTAGAGAAACTCAAGAAAAAAAAAAGACGACTAAATATTAAGTAGTCAGCTTCTTTAATCTGTATGTTGATATTCAGAAATTCAATTCTAAATCCAAGATATCATTCAAACACTGTGTCTTCTGAAACTTGCCCCTTGCATCTTTCTTGCTTTCTAATCAGATATGTGTGCGTAACACGTGTATACTTTTTTATGTCCTTCTAGTGTTTCTCATGCCTCAGCCTCCCAAGTAGATGGGACTACAGGCGCCCACCACGATGTAAATTAACTACACTTTATTATTTCTGTTTTCTCAGGAAAGAACCATCACATTATAAAATTGCTAGACCACAAGGTGAACGGTAGATCTACAGAATTTGAATATAAATTTCAGATCTAGAATCAAGCTAAGAACTGTAATTTAGAAAGAGAGGCAGACTTTTTCTATAAAATTTAGAATTTTATCAGATGTTCAGTTCTTAGATTATTAGATATGTCAACTTATTTACCTATTTCCACCTCTGATGAAGAAAAGTGATTAAAATCAGCAAGATAGGAAAGAAAAGATTTAAGTAACCCACCTTTGCAAAATTTTGAAAACTGGCTTTATAGGGTATGCAAAATAGAATATAGACTCCATAAGGGCATTTTAGACACCTTATAAATGTGGAAAATTCATGCATAATCTGTATCTGTAATAAATCTGTAGAATAACCATGCTCTAAAGGGATGTTTTGAACATTTCCAAATAGATATGGTTTTTTACTGCATAGATAGACAGATAGATAGATAGATAGATAGATAGATAGATAGATAGATATGAATGATAACATTATGTTTATTTTCTCATGATGATGTCCTTAAAGAAAAAGGGCACCATGCAGCAGTTAAAAGAAAACACTTAAAACCGTGGATGCATAGATAGACTTGAAATCATGTCAAGTGAAAAAAATAATATTGCAGAATGATACGAAGACAATGAAGCCATTTATGTAATTTTAAAACACAAATAATAATATATTATACATAATTGCACATGTAGTGTGGAAAAGAAGAAAAATACAGACAAGAACAATAGACTCAAGAGAAAAATTGCTTTGGAGATAGAATAAAGGCATAGGTTTGTGCTGGTTGTCAAAAGAGATGCTGATTTTATGAATAATGTTGTGTTTATTTTGTTTAGAAACATTGAGGGGGCTGGACGCTGTGGCTCACACCTGTAATTCCAGCACTTTGGGAGCCTGAGGTGGTGGTTCACTTGAGGTCAGGAGTTCGAGACCAGCCTAGCCAACGTGGCGAAACCCCGTGTCTACTAATAATACAAAAATTAGCCACACATCGTGGTGGGCGCCTGTAGTCCCAGCTACTTGGGAGGCTGAGGCAGGAGAAACACTAGAATCCAGGAGGCGGAGGTTGCAATGAACCAAGATCACACCACTGCACTCCAGCCTGGGCGACAGAGCAAGACTCTGTCTCAAAAAAGTATATATATAAATAAATTTAAAAATAAAACAATAGGCCGGGCACGGTGGCTCACGCCTGTAATCCCAGCACTTTAGAAGGCTGAGGCGGGAGGATCACGAGGTCAGGAGATCGAGACCATCCTGGCTAAAATGGTGAAACCCCGTCTCTACTAAAAATACAAAAAAATTAGCCGGGCGTGGTGGCGGGCGTCTGTAAACCCAGCTACTCGGGAGGCTGAGGCAGGAGAATGGCGTGAACCCAGGAGGCGGAGCTTGCAGTGGGCCGAGATCGCGCCACTGCCCTCCAACCTGGGCGACAGAGCAAGACTCCATCTCAAAAAATAAATAAACAAATAATAAATAAATACAAATTAAAAATAAAACAATAAAAAACATTGAAGGAAATAAGACACTAAAGACAAGCTTTTTCACTGGTCAAGATGGCTCAGTGTGCTTATATTTAAATGTTTCCCTACCCAAAACACATAGCACTAATAGATAAAGAGGAAACTAAAAAGTTTTAATGAGGGTTGCATACAAGACACACATATCTGAAGGCCATAAAAATATAAACCAGACTGGTGAACAGACTAAAGACGTAGGCTTGCTAGGTTTTTGATCCAAAGTAGAATAATAAATGTGTTTAAAATGTTTCTCTTAAGATGGGATCCAACTTTTTTGTGGTAAGCCAGAGACCAGGAATATGGTTCTTCAATTTATGAAAAGATGAAAAAAATACTGGAGCTAAATTCCTCTTGGAGCTAAATATCTTAGCACAGAGAAGAACAACACAGACGGAACCTTAAGACCAAGAATAGAGCCAAGATATTCCTTAGTACTGTTGATGCAAAATAAAACAAAACAAAACAAAAGTCAGATTACTTGGGATGCATTTGTATTCAAAAAAACCTATGCTGAGTACTTGATGTGACACAAGGAATTGCAAACCATTGGAGCCATGGTGTGTCTCAGAAGGAGATGTCAGGAAGTATTTGTTAGAAGACTAGAGGAGCATTAAGTGAATTGGATGGAGGAGAGTGCATGGAAATGGGAGTCTGTTTTGGAATCAATGCTGTCAGCAAACAGGTGAAGATGCAGTAATCATTCAGGGTAGCTGGGAGAGAGGGATGCTTGATCACTTATTTGATTGCATTGCATATTTGTTTTCATGATTCTTGATTACAGAATATTCATGTTATTGTCTTTTTCCATCATGATCACAGATAGACCGTGTCGGTTGGTATTCTGTCAACATTTTTATTTTCAGCATGGCAACTTGATAGCCTTACTGATGGGAACTAGAATAGATACAAGATGTCAGCTGTCAGGACTGCACTTTATTTTATGTATTTATTATTTTCTCATCATCACCATACTGATAAACCCAGAACTGTTTCTAGATGAGGGCTACACAAGATTTAGTGAAGGCACTCATTACATCACAAATTTAAGGAGAATGCACAAAGAAAGGTGGAGAAGAGAAAAATATAAGTAAATGTGAATGCTTGGCTTAACCAAAATGTGTGGGCAAACCCAAACCCTCAATTCCACAAATTCCACAAATGTAATAATAAGGAAGATAAACAAATGAATAATAACTTATGAAATGCACTCCAATTATTTTACTGAAAGATTTTGAATGGCTGCCTTAGGTAGGTATAGGCTATTTAATGAAAAAAAAAAGAGGTCGTAATTTTCTTAAAAATTATAAAATAGTTATCAATTCTGTTATGAGGATATAAGTGATTTATTATTTTTATACCCTCTTGCTCTACTGTATATTTTTAATTTCTCAAAAACAAGTTTCTAAAAATGATATGGGAGGGAGGCAGGAAAGTGCTGGATAGAGAAGGGCCGGGTCCCTATAGAGGGACCCACAAACCTAAATGAGAAGAGGCATTTCTGTTTTCATGCCCCAAAAGTTGCCTTTTGGCCTGCCACACAGCCCCATTCTGTGCCCATAAAATCCCGAGACCCTAGCGAGCACAGAAACAAACAGCTGAAGATTGAGAGGAGCAGAAGAGCAAATTGATAGACACCAGCAGACACCAGCAGACCATCAAAGGCAGTGGAATTCAGCAGGGGCAGTGGGAGGAGAGTGCGGCCGCTGGGCGTCCCAACTGCGGGGGAGGACCATCATCCCCTTCCATCCCCCTTCTGGCTCCCCATCCATCTTACTGGGAGTTACTTCCACCACTCAATACAACCTTGCACTCATTCTGCAAGCCCACATGTGATCCGATTTTTCTGGTACATTAGGGCAAGAACCCGGGATACAGAAAGCCCCCCGTCTTGTGTACAAGGCAGAGGGTCCAGTTGAGCTGCTTAACACAAGCTGCCTGCTGCCTGGAGAAGGCAAAGCCGAAAGAGTGCACTATAACACACTTCCACTGGGGCTTCAGAAGCTGTAAACACTCAACCCTAGACAAGGCTGTGGGGTCAGAAAAAATACTCCCCATGACCTGTCCCTCTGCATGCTCCCCCAAGGGGTTTGAGCAGCAGGGCACTGAAGAAACAAACCACACCCCTGTCACACGCCCTGCGAGGGGAATAAGAGAACATCTCCGCTTTCAAAAACATGATGGGATAATTGAGCACCCAGCATGTATTTAGCGTCTAGAACCAGAGTGCCATTCTTGTTATTCTGAATTATAAAGAGAGACGATATGATCTTACTCTCAAATGTCTTACAGCAGAGTTGAGAAGACACAGCTAACAAAGTGTAGTGTCAGAGAAATAAATATAGCACAAAATTTTATTGAATAATACAGAACTTATACATTCATTAAAGATATATAGAATTAAAGAAAGTTTCATCACTTTAAGTCATGAACAGCTATTTGTTTTTCAAATTTTGGTCAAAAGTCAAAATAAATCTATGACAATCTAAGATGGAGAAAATAAAATATTCTGTATGCTTATTACTAGAGATAGTAGTTAATTTTATCAAAATTACCAAACGTGCAACATGTGTGCTAACGTTGCCTATGAATGAATTTTTCAACGGTTATATAAGATACATGAAAAAAAGATATATTTTATTATTCTATTTAATACAATTTTATATTTTTTAATTTTCTTTGTTTTTACACTTTACATTTTTTCATATTTCTTCCACCATGTCTTAATGTAATTAGTTATATTAAGTATATGTGTATCAAATATTTTCCCTCAGTTTATCCATTTTATTTTGAAAAATTGTAGTGAATGCAGCCCCCAATGCACCCTTTGCGGTGGGGGCATCTGCTTTCTCAGTTGCTGGGAGGGTGGAGGCACCCGTTTTTCTCAATTTCTGGGAGGGCCACCCTGAGTGTTCGCAGCACAGTGACCTCCCCGGGTTTCCCTTGGCAAAAGGGAGCTGCTTCATTCAAGGAAATGTTTCACTCCCTGGGACAGCCAGGTCCACTGAGTGGGTGTTGAGGGAGTAAAAATCTTAGACTCTTTGCTTCCATGTGAGACAGCTTTGAAGGTCAGCTTCAGAGCTGCCAGAGGGATGGGCTGACCCTCTGTGTACAATGTATTTCAGCTTAACTTCTTCCTCTGTCCAATCTTGCTTTGCTTATCCTTTAATGGCTTTTGTTCCAGACAGCAGCCCCTAAAAATCTTCTTGTATGCTAAGCATCTTCTTAGAAGTTGTTTCCAGTGAACCTTCTATAAAGAAAGAAACATAATAAAGTTTACAATCTGTAAATGGAAATGAATTCTTGCACAAATTTGAGTGCAATTGGGATTTTTTTCTCAATGATTCTACATTAATGTTTACTAGTTATCAAATAAATCCTTAGTTTTCTGAATATTGAATTTATAAATATTAAATCTAAGACTAAATTAATATTTTCAATTTTAAATAATTTTAAATTTTAAATTTTTTTCTCCATTGAAAAATTCAAATAAAGCTACAGATTTCCTCATCTATTCCCTAAAATATTTTATCAGAGGAAATGTAAAATGGCTTCTGTGGGTAAGATAATAAAAACAAAAGGAAATTACACAATCACATTCTTACATCACAGAAACCTTAAAACTATTAAAAATTCATGCTACAACTAGCAGTCTCATCAAGGTTTCATATAATAAAATAAATGAAAACATAAAAAGACTTTTCTACTATGTTTATCATCTAGTTTTAACATACAAAAAATTCAACAACAAATTCACAACAAAAAATTTTGTTGACTCTTAAAATATATGAAACAAAAATTCAAGGTCTATATCCTTTGGTGGCCAATTAGTATATTCATCCATGAATTGTTTTAACAGCTTTATTGAGATTTAATTCACATACTATAAAATTCACTCATTTAAAGTGTACATTAAAATTGTTTTAGTATATTCACATATATGCAACCATCACCACAGTCACTTTAAGAATATTCTCTCACCTCAAAAAGTCTCCCTGTCCTATTGCTTTTAGCTATCAATTCTGTATTGTGGGTCTCCCCGCTCCAGTCTTAAACAAACACAAATCTATATTCTCTGTCTATAGATTTCCCTGTGCTAGATATTTCATATCAATAGACTGGTTAATGTGGTCTTTTGTGACTGGTTTCTTTCGCTTAGTATAATGTATTTATGAGTTTCATGTTTTATAACATGTATTAATAATTCATTATTTTCATTGCTAAATATTTTTGTGTGTATTTTATACAACTGCTTTTTAAATCAGTTAAAGAAAGGCTTTAATGGTGTTCATTATAATTATGTAATTATCTTTACCAGTGCTCTTGGTTTAATTCTGAGAATGAGAGGAAACGCCAAACAGTTTTTTGCTTCAAGAAACTTCCATAAATTTGAGAAAGTAACTTATAAAGTAGGGGCTGGCACTTAACCATAGCGGAGACAAAGAGCAGAAAGTGATCCTTTTAATCAGGGGTTTGATAAAGGTCTCAACATGCAGGTGCCATGAAATAACTTTTATGAGTATAAGAGATATTCCAGGAGCATCTGAAAACATGTGTGCAAGAATGTCATCTTTCCTCAACAGGATAAAATGGTGTTGTGGCTCCTCCTTGCATTACAGAACAACCAGTGTCAGCTGTGTGGTAGGCATACCCCAGACAAAAATATGTAATAAACAACTATGAAATATGGCTGTACTTATTTTATCCACATCATTTGTAGCATGTAATATTCTCATTTGCGTTTATTTTCTGTGTTTCTTAGATAAAAAATAACAAAAGAAAATTAAATTCTCACTCTGCTATTTAAGTTCTTGTTTCTTTATTACCTGGGAAGTTGTAGAAAACATTAAATAAAATTAATCCCAGCACTGTGGGAGGCCGAGAGGGGTGGATTACCTGAGGTCAGGAGTTCGAGACCAGCCTGACCAACCTGGTGAAACCCCGTCTCTACTAAAAATACAAAAATTAGCCGGGCATTGTGGCAGGCGCCTTCAATCCCAGCTACTCAGGAGGCTGAGGCAGGAAAATCACTTGAACCCGGGAGGCAGAGGTTGCAGTGAGCTGAGATCCCGCCATTGCACTCCAGGGCGACAAAGCAAGACTCCATCTCAAAATAAATAAATAAATAAAATTAAAAAGTTTTAATGAATCTTATGTTTTCCTTAATGCCAGTGTGAGTGAGGAAATACAGTTTTCTCAAAAGAGTCAAACATATGTTTTAAAATTTTACCTAATTGAAAATCTTAGGATAGTTAAATAAAGAGAATAAGAAAAAAAAGTAGAAATATTTTATTTCAGATACATTTCAGTATTTCACTAGACTCAACCAAGTCCCTTCACTGACAAGATATTTGTTCCAGGGCCCAATATAGTATCCAGAAAGCAGTGTAGAATGTCATGAAATTCTAATTGTACAAAGAAGTCATATTGGAAATGACTGAAAAATTCAAATGAACCTGTATCAGTCCCCCTTCTCCCAATGTACTCTTTTAGGAATAATTGGCACAATGCTGATAAACCATTTACAAACATTATCATTTTAACAGATAAGAAAGTAATTCAAATCTATAGATTTTACATTAAAATATCTGCAAACATAAATATATTGCAGAATTCTGATAATTGATCAAACTAAGAGTGGCATCCTATATGTAGAGATTTTTCCCTTAATTTATTCTATTCCAATAAGTTATGTTTTCCTTCTCAAAAGAATGAAAAAGAAAATGTATGCATTCTTCTACTTTACTAGTCCATGCTATGAATAGTATCATATTTATAACAGTATCAAAAAAACACTAATGCTTTGAAAATCAATGGTATTAGAGAGAACTTTACTACAGCTTGTATGAGCAGCTATATGACAGGTTTTATACTATTTGAAATTAAAATAATTAATCTCCAAGATTAAATATGATCAAAGAAAATTAATAAATAAGTCACTTAAATTATGTAACTGTTTTTAAGTTATTGATTTGTCATCAAATAATTATTTCAATTCCCATTATTTTTATTATTCATATTTATGATAATTTTGTGGTTAAGTTTATTTCTCAGTATCAAACATCTCAATATCACATCAAAAAGCTACAAAAATACAAAAGTGGAATCAACAATTAAGGTTACAATCCAACAAGTAAATTAAATTCTCAGATTCAGAATTTCCAAATCATTACTTGGTTCACTGACTCTTGTGATAACCCCAAGACAGTCAGGAGGATACATTATGGGCAAAATATTAGTATTATATGGTGTGACTGTCACAAATTATGGGTAGGTAGTAATTGAAACAACAGAATTAATGGAAATAAGGAAACCTCAACTGTGCTTCAATTATTCCTGAATGTATAGTTTGGTTTCTAATACATATCTTGGCTTCCAAAAATTTTTCCATTTACATATTTTATGATTATTTTTCTCACTTGACTGGTGATCAATTAATTATAATAAATAGAAAGTAAGCATATGGTTACAAAACTAAGCCTCATTGGACATTTGCCTTAGCAAATACGTTTTTAAAACTAAAGTCATCGTCATAACCATTTACCATGTAATATCGTCTGGCTGTTTCTCACCCAAATCTCATCTTGAATTGTAATCCCCATAATCCCTACATGTCATGGGTAGGACCCTGTGGGAGGTAACTGAATCATGGGAGCGATTTCCCCTATGCTGTTCTCGTGATAGTGAGTTCTCGCAAAATCTGATAGTTCTAAGAGCATCTGACTTTTCCCCTGCTGGCATTCATTCTCTCTCCTGCTATCCTGTGAAGTGATGCCTTCCGCCATGATTGTAAGTTTCCTGAGGCCTCCCCAGCGGTGTGAAACTGAGTCAATTAAACCTCTTTGTAAATTACCCAGTCTCGGGCATTCCCTTATAGCAATGTGAGAATGGACGAACACACTATGCTGGCATAAAACAGTGTGGAGGAGGAAAAATTGCACGTGCGCGCGCGCGCCTGTGTGTGTATTGACTAAGAATGCCTTCATATTACCAGCAGCTGGACTAATCTTTAGAGAGGTTCCTTTCTGAATATAGTCCTCTAATTTTCCTTCTTTTTTTAAAAAAAAAGAAAACAGGCTGGGTGCATTGGCTCACACCTGTAATCCCAGCACTTTGGGAGGCCGAGGTGGAGGAATCACCTGAGGTCAGGAGTTCGAGACCAGCCTGGCCAACATGGTGAAACCCTGTCTCCACAAAAAAATGCAAAAATAAGCTGGGCATTGTGGTGTGTGCCTGTAGTCCCAGCTACTAGGGAAGCTGAGGCAGGAGAATCACTTGAACCCAGGAGGAGGAGGTTGCAGTGAGCCGACATCTCACCACTGCACTCCAACCTGGGTGACAGTGTGAGACTCTGTCAAAGAAAAAAAAAAAAAAAAAGAAAGAAGAAAACATTTACTTTAGAAAATGTGCAATTGTAAATTCTTCCTCTTTCCATTTGAGACATAAATCTTCTCCTAGCCTCTTGCCACTTTTATAACTCAAGGATGCCTTTCTCATGGACTGTGGGCTGTCCCAGGTCAAGGAATGTAGTGCCCCTCTCTTCCAGTCTCCTGGAAGAGTAGCCTAATTTTTATACATGCCAATTTGCCAAAAGTTTTGTAATCACATTGACTAACGTCCCTCTAAATCCCTCCAGGACTTTTCCACTTTCTTATGCCAGTGCTTAAAAACTTTTCTGCTTTTTGTTTCAACAGCATTGAGTTCAGTCTCAATCTCCCTTTGAAATTGTCTTCACCTCTATTTGCCATAGTCTTGAATAAAGTCTCCCTTTTATGTTTAACCCCTTCTCCTACAAATTTTGTTTGACAATACTTATATTCCTTCATCTCATTTGGATAAGGAAGGAGGAATGTTAAATATATATTTGCCCCCTCCCCATGTCCAAATATAATTAAAGGGCAACAAGTTATTTGGCCACTAGATATCACACATTTTAATTTCACTTTACTCCCTTAGCTGCACTAAAGCATGACCAAATAATGACAGACACTCTTTTTTTCTTAACATTTTATCCAAAATAAAAATATGACTACTGTTACAAATTATATGAATAAAATTATTTTAGACACAACATAATCATATCATTCATAATTAATTATTGATCCCAAATGTTATGCTGCTTTTATTATTTATTATTTTAACGGATTTTTGTTAATTTTTGTGTGTACATAGTATGTGTACATATTTACGGAGTATCTGAGAGGTTTTGAAACTGGCATGCAATGTCAATATTTTTTAGAAAAAGAATGAGATACAGGCATTTGCAACAACAAGGGTAGAACTGGAGATCATTATGTTAAGTGAAATAAGCCAGGCACAGAAGGAGAATCATTGTGTGTTCTCACTATATTTGTGGGATCTAAAAATCAAAACATTTGAACATATGGACATAGAGAGTAGAAGGATGGTTACCAGAGGCTGGGAAGGGTAGCGGAAGACTGGATGAAGGTAGGGATAGTTAATGGGCAGACACACACACACACACACACACACAAACAAAATGAATAAGACCTACTATTTGGTAGCACAATAGGGTGACTATAGTCAATAATAACTTAATTTCACATTTTAAAATAACTTAGAGGGTGTAATTGTGTTGTTCGTAAATCAAAGGATAAATGATTGAGGGGATGGATACCCCATTCTTCATGATGTGCTACTTTTAGTATTAAAATTTACTTTGCATCTTATTATTTAATCAGAATTTATTTGAAATCATCTAAATACTTTTTTACATGGTTTTGCATCTATTATAACAATTTTGTATAAGAAGAAAGTACAATGTTCTATCTGGAAGTGGATGAATTGAGGTTACTTCAAACCCAATCACATAGTGTCTTTGCTGTGTTCTCAAGTTCCAAAAACAATCTCCTTGGATTTGTTGTCTACCTAAAGGGATTCCACCTGTAGATCAGCAGCCCTCTGTGGCTGAAACACTTTCCTAGTCGACAAAAAGAAGCACATCTCTGAACTGAGCTTTGATTTATCATTACCCTTACAGAAGATTTCAATGTGCTTTTACCCTGTACTCTTACCTAGCATTGAGGCAGCAATATCAGGATGGAAAATATTTGTAAAACTAAAATGAAATAATATTTAAAGTAATACAATGTTATTGTTTGTAGAAATTATGTATTCTGAATTCTGTCTAAACCTGTGTTGTTATTCCAAAGGCCAAATTGTTAGTTCTTATTATTTCTATGCTCACATTGTACTAGAGACATTCATGAGTTATCAAATGTAATTCATGAATTGTGGACTTAAGCCTACATTTCAGTGTGATGTTGAGCATTTCCTATTCTTCCATACATATTACATAATCTGCATTGAAATATCAAAAGGCCTGAAGTCATTTTACATTTTCTTTCAGTTAGGTCTGGTAACCAAGTGTGGCTTGCAGTGATAAGCTAACCCTGCTGGAGCCCATCACTCCTGGGCAGTAAAACCATTGAAGAGTTTAAGCCTTCAAGTCAGAGAGGTGAAAAGCAGGCTGTAACTCCTATGCATGTTAATATCTCTGAGGATTTTGGCTGTTGTTTTACTCTACTTGTATTTGTGTGGAGGCACTTTCTACTTCACTAAAATAAACAACCTCACAATTGAAATATAAAGCATATGATCAACTCTTTTGTTTAATGGATAAAGATCATGAAATTAGAAGATCATACAGGTTATGAAAGGGTAAAATCCACAAATATTTTCTTTGTACAATTGTCTTAATCTTCATGATTCTTGTAATTCATTCTTTTCAACAAACCTGCTCTTTCCCTTTACCATACCTACAAACCCTTGATTGATTTTCATTTTCCATTAATCTTCATCTGGATTGCCTTGTATTGTGTGAATAGTTCAGTGCAGACCAGATAGAGCAAATATTTCAAGTGCATTCTCACCAATATAAATCCCTTCAATTTTTAGATTAGCGTATTAACATTAAGTGTCAAACATGAGGACCAAGGGTCACAGAATTTTGGAGTCAGTTGACATGTCAGCCACTTACTAATATCAAGTGCTTAGAAAAATCACATAATAGCTGTATCTCTCAAGTTTCAAGTCAACATATTGGAAACTTAAAGAATTTCCATATGAGTAAATAAAATAATTGTAAATTTGAAACACAATGCAAATATAAGGTAGTATTATTGTTCAAACCTCCATTAAAGCAGCTGAGAGTAGTCAGAAAGAATCATATAAAGTAGTATTTTATTTCTATATAAATGAATGATTTCTAAACACACATAAACCTTTAGTGCAACTTTTATTTCATTCCTTTCAACTATAGTTAACTCTATTATAAATGTTTTCATCACTCTTCTGTAGACTGAAGTCTGTTAATCAATTCATTTCAATAAACATTTATTTAGAATTCCAAGTATTTTATGTTCTGCCATTGTCTCCTATTCATTGCAGATATACAGGTCATCAGATGTGAATGCTTTTATCCTGCCTGTAAGGGAAGATACTTCTTTAGCTTGACCTTTTGTTCTTCACTTTTCCCTCTGACTCTGAAGACATCTTGGCTTCTGTTCTTTCTCATGGAGTTATAGATACCATTTGATACCATCAGGCACCTTGCTGTTTCAATTAGATATTAAATATTTTTGTATCTTCATTTTTTCTCTTTATCAGATGATGTGTTAGGCTTACAAACTCAATCTTAATAACACTTTTCTTGGAACTTCATGATCATTCAAGTTACTGCCATTTCATTTTTCTTTCCCTTATTAGATATCTTTTTAAGCTTTATGTAGGTGTGCATATATATAACAAGAACATTCTCCTACAAAGTCACAATAAAACCATAAAAATCAGGAAGCAATAATCAATACATTGCTAACATCTAATTTTCATGCTTCATTCATAGTTTGAAAATTATCCCAATAATATTATTTAGAGCAAACTCATCTAGTACATTATGTCATGTTATATTTAATTTTCATGTCTCTTTAGTTTCCCTTAATCTGGAGAAAATCCTGAGTCTTTCCTTGATTTCATGTCCTTGACAGTTTTAAAGATTATATACCAGTTATTTTGGTGAATGCCTGTCAATTTGGATTTGACTGATATTTCCTTATCATGAGGCTCGGTTTATGCATTTTTGGCAGGAATATCATCAGCAATGCCATGCTCTTCTCATTCCATTTTATCAAGTGGCACATGACTTTATTTTATCGTCCAATATTGATGTTGTTAAAATTGATTATTTGATGAAGCTGGCGCCTGCTAGGCATTCCCAATGTGTAGTTACTCATTTTCTATTTTTAATTTATAAGTGTGTTTTCTGGAAAGACCGAATCTTTGTACACTTTCTATTTTTCATCAGACTTTATTTTATTTATATCAGTATGTATTTAAGGATTACTATATTGCTCTATGGATTAAAATATATTAACAATATTAATTATTTGATGATACACTTATTCCAGATTTGGCCAGTGGAAACCCCGCATACACTTACCAGGGATCTCAGTTATAAAAAGTACATTTCAGTCACCCACTTTATTTTTCTTCTTTCCCTCCCCTCTCACTTGTTCTTTCCTTCCCTCTCTGGGCATGCCCTTCTGTCACTGAATGCTTATCTAATTATGTTCTTGCTTCAGAAATTCCAGAGGCTAATCTTGGAACAAATCAGTCATAGACCTAGATCACAGAGTCCTCCCACTTAGAGGGAGTCACGAGCAATTAGTCGCCACCATTGGGCTGAAGTTAGTTATGTGGAACAAAACTCACAGACCCCACACTCTGCACAACTCCCGTAGGTTTTTCATACCAAGCTTCCCTTTTAAAGTCCTATGGTAAAATTTAAATTTTAAGATGGTACTTTAGAGCACTAATTCACTATCTTCTCAGTCTGCTGGCTTTCTAATTAAACCTGCTTTTCTTCCCACCAACACTTGCCTCTCATGTTTGGCTTTCAAGTAGTGAGCAACAATACCTGGGTCCAGATTCGATGGTGGCCCTCTGTCCTTTGGAAATGAATGACAATTTTCTTACTTTCTGGCACAAAAAGATGCTTGCAACTCATCTTATGTTCTCCCTTCTCTGTCCTGGAATCTACCATTTCTCCAAGAGATGATGGTTTCTTTTACTAGAAAATGGAATTTAAAAACCAGGATCTTGGTACCTAATTTGCTCACTGCTATTGCTTTGAAACTTCTCCCAATAACTCTCCGTGGACAGGGCTATGATATATGTGTGTGATGGTTAATATCGAGTATGAACTTGATTGGATTGAAGGATGCAAAGTATTGTTCCTGGGTGTGTCTGCGAGGGTGTTGCCAAAGGCAATTAACATTTGAGTCAGTGGACTGGGAAAGGCAGACCTACCCTCAATCTGGGTGGGCACAATCTGATCAGCTGCCAGCATGGCCAAAATAAAAGCAGGCAGAAGAGTGTGAAGAGACTAGACTGGTTTAGTCTTCTGGCCTACATCTTTCTCCCGTGTTGGATGCTTCCTGCCCTCAAACATCAGACTCCAAGTTCTTCAGCTTTGGGACTTAGACTGGCTTTTTTGCTCCTCAGCTTGTAGAGAGGCTATTGTGGGACCTCGCCTTGTGATCGTGTGAGTCAATACTCTTTAATAAGCTCCCCTTTATATATACATCTATCCTACTAGTTATGTCCCTCTGACGAACCCTGACAAATACAATATGTATCTTTGCATGTACGTGTGTGTGTGTGTGTGTGTATGCCCTCCCTTTCCATATTTGTTATTCATTTAGTTGATAGAAATTTAGCTCTTATTATTTACAGTTAATTGATTATGACTTATTTGATTACTCTTATTGTATGTAACTAATCTCCCATTGCTGGCTCCTATACAAAATACATCTTTCTCAGATCCACCTTTTATTCAGAAATGTAGCAAGAAGAAAATGGAAGCAAGGGAAAAGGAAAAAAGGAGAATAGAAAGAGAAGATAAAACACACCTTCTTTTAAACTTATTATTTCTTTTTGACTTTGCCTCTTCAGTGTGGATTTGCTCATTTTCAAGTCTCTGAAATTCATTCCCTTACTCCAATACAACCAATCTCTCTCACACTCTTTTTTTAAATGTCCTAACCATGGGATTAATGGTGAATACCTGCTTTTGCTTCAAGGTGGGGAGGCAGAACTGTCGTCTTGGTAACTGAAGTCAGTCCCCTGGGAGCTGTGTTCTAATATGACAGACATCCAACAAAAAAACTCCAATAGAAAGGCTATGGTAATCTTCCTTATCAGTGATACTTGGCATGTGTTCTCACTTGTCACTGCCGTTTGAATTATGGGCATCCCTGGGGGACTACACTGGGAGTGGACACCTGGCAGTTCGCCCCTGCTTTCTTTCAGGTTTTGTCCTATTAATATTTTTCCCTTGTTGATGTTAGTCTGTATTCTTTCAAAGTAATAAGCTCCAAACATGAGTACAACAGCTTTTCTGAAACCCATGCATCTTCCTAACAAATTATTGAGCCTAAGTGTGGCCTCGGGAATACTCAACACACCAGGAATCTACAAATTCTTAAATCATGTGGTATGAGTTTTATAACTTTTTTAGCAATATTTGAGACTTGTAACTCTGTGTACCTCTTAATGTCCAGATCTACTTTTCATGTTTTCTTCTGACTACTATTCTCTGTGTTTCTTAGTGCAGGAATTCTCCTAATGATAACATTCGTTTTTTTATGATAGCAAGTGTATAAGTTATGCAACATTTATAACACAGTATTTAATTTTATATTAACTAGTACGTCTATACTTGTGCATTTCTCTGTGGATATTTATATTTCCCCTTTAACTCTGAATTCTCTGAATCCCTGGATTATAATTCTAAATGCCACTGGACATTCCAGTGTATATGTTTTCTAGGTGCTTTTCATTCAAAACATCCCCATATAGACATTGTCTTCTGGTTCCTTTTCTGAATTAAGAACTGGAACTGGCCAATTTTTCTTTTAACTGCAATTTATTTATACTGAGATGCTTATAAGTATATGACACTTTCTATGTTCACAGGCAAAATAAAAACAAAAATGTCCATGCCGAATCTCCACATACATGTTCTGCTCCCATATTTTCTTTCATTGGTTATATTGACTTCATTGATTACCTCACCAACATTTGAACAGTTGGAGTCACACTATAGCAATTCTATCGCAGAAATGAGTAGTGTTCTATAAACTGCTACAAATCCATGAGTGCACAACTTGAGTGAAAACAAATAGAAACTCTCATGACAATCTTATATAAGTGGCATTAAGATAAAAAGCATAACAACATAAATCATAAACACTCTGAATTTCTTTGAAAAAAGTGTAACCGTATTTAAAAGCTAGTAGAAGCAAATGTACAATATTTTACATATAGAACTTAATATTTTGTGGTTATCCTAAGTTAAGACTAAGACTGAAACAAATACATATGTATGACTGTTAAGACATTAATCACAGCATGGCTCAAAGAGTGTGCTCATATAAGTTGAATAAATATGTGGCAAAGAAGTTAGCTTAAGTATTGGTTTCCAATAACATCAGAGCACATCGTTTAGCTAAGTTATATGACAAATACACTCAGTAATGCACATTTCATTATAATGTGATGAATGTGCAAATATTTTTAACGTAGATATTCTTCGAGGATATGTGTGATTTGAATATAATGGTGATATAAAGAGAAGATTTCTGTTTTCAGCTTAATTGCTGACAAACATTAGTACTGAACCAAACTATGAAGGTTTACATTGTCAACATATACAATTTGGAGTTAAAGATTTGTTTTGAAATAGAATCTGATGACACAGCTACAATTACAGAAACATAATAGAATAGCTATCCACATAAAGGAGCCTATGCCAGAATATAAATCACCAGAATGTTTCCTTCATTGAGAAAGTATTTCTATGGAAAAAAAAGTCAACTGAAATAAAGAGTGCTTACAAGCACAGTAAAGCTACGAATAATAAAAAGGCTAATGTTTTATATATCATATCATATATATTATTAAATATAGTTCTCTGTTTTTTAGGAAAATATGAAAGTTGATTGTAAATAATTGATAATGCAGACTAAAATTGAATTTTATCATGAGAAAATTGTCAAGAATATTTGAATTATGGAATAAACAGGATGTCTACAAGATTAAAAACAATTTGGTCTCAATTTTGAAATATGCTAATTGAACAGTAAGACTTTTTTTTGGAAATTTCATCAAAGGAAGGAAGGCAACATGCTTCTTCATGGCAAAAAAACAAAGGATAATTTCTGTAGTATCTTATGACATGTCCCATAATTGAACACTACTTTAACAATGGAGTAAGGGATTATCTTGATACATAGTATCTGCTAAAGTTCTCATCAAAAATAAAGAAATACAATAGAATTTTAAAATGTTAATTATATCAAATAAATAGCTTCATACAGGTAATATATGGATATAGAATACATTAAACTAAAAAGAAATTATAATTATATATAATTTTAGCAGATTTACAGAATAACATGTATTCAGTAAATATATATGAAATGTGCTTGGTAAAGGGTTAAAATTAATTTTAATAATATACTAGTTGTCTTTTTTTATACATCTTTCACTGAGATTTTTTAAAAATGTTTTGTCTTCTATCCCCATCCAGTTACCTTCGCAAGACTGTACTGTGTATAATTTCTGTATTTCTATACCTGAAAATATCATAAAGGACTTTAAATTCTTCTCAAGATGTAGTAAAAGGATCAGATTACTCACCTTCCTTCATAAAACAAATAAAGCAATGGGTTTCAAGAAGCTAGACATTGAGACAATGAAAGTAGTATATACATGTTCAAAGGATTTCAAACCAATATGCCAAAGAGATATCTGCACTTCTGTGTTCATTTTGGAATTAATCATAATAGCCAAGTTGTGGAATGAACCTAAGTGTCCAGCAATGGATGAAAGGATGAAGAAAATGTGATGGGTGATTCCATGTCTTTGCTGTTGTGAATAGTTCTGCAATGAACATATGCATGCCATTATCCTCAGCAAACTAATGTAGGAATGGAAAATCAAATACCACATGTTCTCACTTGAAGCTGAAGGATTAGAACATGTGGACACATTGAGGGGAACAACACACACTGGGGCCTGTCGGAGGGTGTGGAGTGGGAAGAGGGAGAGCATCAGGAAGAATAGCTAATGGATGCTGGGTTTAATAACTAGGTGATGGGACAATCTGTGCAGCAAACCACCATGTCACACATCTACCTATACAACAAACCTCCACATCCTACTCACGTACCCCTGAACTTAAAATAAAAATTGGAAATTAAAAAAAAAAAGTGAAAAAAAAAGAAAATGTGATGCAGATAGAGAGTATTAAGAGGTTACCAGAGGCTTGGAAGGGTAACAGGGCTGAAGAATTGGGGATGGTTAATGGGCATAAAAACATAATTAGATAGGATACAATCTAGTATTTGATAAGACAGCAGGGTGACTACAGTCAACATAATGTATTACATATTTTATTTTATTTTAAAAAATGTATTGGGGTGGAGTTTCACTCTGTCACCCAGGCTGGAGTGCAGTGGCACTGAAACTTTTGCCTCCCAGGTACAAGCAATCCTCCTGTCTCAGCCTCTCTATTAACTGGGCTCAAGCCACCATGCCTGGATAATATTTGTATTTTTAGTAAAGACAGGCTTTCACCATGTTGGCCAGGCTGGTCTCAAACTCCTGACCTCAGGTGATCCACCTTCTTCGGCCTCCCAAACTGCTGAGATTACAGGCATGAGCCAGTGCACTGGTGGTATTCTAAAAGACTATAATCAGAATTAATTGTAACACAAATAAATGATAAATGCTTGAGATGATGGATACCCCATTTACCCTGATGTGATTATTATGCATTGTATGGCTGTATCAAAATATCTCATGTAACCCATAAATATATACATCTACTATGTACCCATAAAAATTAAAAATAAAACATTTAAAAATAAAAAATAATTGATAAATAAATAAAAGAAAATGTGGTCTGTAACAGAGTGCAGAATGATGACTTCCAGAGGTTGAGGGAGGGAAGATGGGGAAATGTTGGTCAAAGGTTAAAATGTTTCATTTAAAAGAAATACATGGTAAGTACTTGAGATGACATATATGTTTGTTAGCTTGACTCAATCATTTTACATTATATAAATGAAACAGAGTATCACGTTATACCCAATTAATTATACAATTATAACTTGTGAATATTCAGTAGTAAAGAAAACCCTATCTGAGTTCTAAGTAGAATAGCATTCCATTTACTTATTGAAAGAATTATAATTTCTACGAAATTTTCTTTCTATCTAATAGCAGGTTATAATTACTCATGTGCTTAGATGTTGTTTTGTTTTCATTTAATAAGCATTATTTTTTCCTTCAAATATATCCAATACCTATTTGTCATAGTTCTTGAAATTATTGTGAGTAAAATAATTTTCTATCTTCGCAAAAAGGAAATATAAGGCATCCAAATAGAGAAGGAATAAATCTTATTTCTGCCTGTAGATGACATAATTTCATATTTAGAAGACCCTAAATATTCTACAAAAAGGGAAACTATCAGAACTAGTAAACAAATCCAAACAAGTAGCCAAATACAAAGTTGATACAAAAAAAATTCAGTTGCATTTCTAAGGATTAACAGTGAATAATCTGAAAATAAATTAAGAAAATAACTCCAACAACGTCATCAAAAACATTAAAATACATAGAAATTAACCAAGAAGGTAAATGTATAATAAAAACTACACAATGTTGCTGAAAGTAATTAAAGGTGTCATAAATAAATGGAAAGATATTCCATGTTAATGGGATTGGAAGATCTAATATTACTAACATGTTAATATCACTCACCCAAAATGATCCACAGATTTATTGCAATTCCTATCACAATCCAGTTATGTTTTCTGCAGAAATAGAAATATCCATACTAAAATTCATATGGAATGTTAAGGGACATTGAGTAACCAAACAATCTTGAAAAAGAACAAAGTTGGAGAACTAATGCTTCCTAATTTCACAACTTACTTCAGAACTATAGTAATCAAAACAGTGTCTTTCTGGCATAAAGACAGACATATAGATCAATGGAATAGAAAAAAGTGCCCAGAAAAGATCCTCGTATATATAGTCAAATGATTTTTGTCAGTGGTTCCAAAACTATTAAATGAGAAAAGGACAATCTTTTCAACAAATGATGGTAGCAGAACTTTATATCCACATGTAAAATAATAAAGTTGAAGCCTTACTTAATGCCATATACGAAAACTTAAAATCAAATAATCCAACATCATAAATAAAGTATAACCCTGAGAAGGAAATATATGACAACAGCTTTATGGCATTAGATTTGGCAATGATGATATGGATATCATACCAAAGGCTATACAATAAAAGAAAAAAAATAAATTGAACTTTATGAAAATTTAAAAACTGCTTTGCATCAAAAACACTTTCAACATAATGTAAAGGCAACCTATAGCATGGAAAAAATACATTAGTCCAGTCTCACACTGCCATGAAGAAATACCCCAGACTGGGTAATTTATAAAGGAAAGAGGTTTAATTGACTCACAGTTCCAAATTGTTGGGGAAGCTTCAGCAAACTCAGAATAATGTCAGAAGGCAAAGGAGAAGCAGGCACCTTCTTCACAGGGCGGCAGGGCAGAGTGAGTACAAACAGGGATGCCAGAGGCTTTTAAACCCATCAGATCTTATGAGACACACTGGATATCACGAAAACAGCATGGGGGAAACTGCCCCCATGATCCAGTTACCTCAGCCTGCTCCTGCCTTGACATGTGGGGATTATGGAGACTATGGGGACTACAATTTAAGATGAGATTTTGGGTGGAGACACAGTCAAACCATATCAGAGAAAATATTTGCAAATCATATTTCTAATAAGGTATTGGTAACCAGAATATATACAACACTCCCCAAACTCAACAGTCATAAAAACAACCCAATTCAAAAATGAGCAAAGGATTTGAGCAGACATTTCTCAAAAATAAAAAGATATACACATAGCCAATAAGCACATGAAAAGGTGCTCAACATCATTAATCATTAGAGAAATGCAAATTAAAACCACAGTCAGGCCCACCAACTCACATCCATTAGAATGACTATTATCAAAACAACCACAATAAAACAACAGGAAATAACAAGGGTTGCTGAGAATGTGGAGAAATTAGAACACATGTGCACTGTTGCTGAGAATGTAAAATGATTCAGCCACTGGAAAATGGTATGGTGGCTCCTTAGTACATTAAAAATAGAATTGCCATATGATCAGCAACTCTGTTTTGGGGTAAATACGTGCAGGAATTGAAAGCAGGGTCTTGAAGAGTTATTTGTACACCCATATTTATAGCAGAATAGTTCACAACAGCTTAAACATGGAAGCAACCCAAGTGTGCATTGACAGATGAATAGACAAATAAAATGTTGTATATACATAAAGTGGAATATTATTCAACCTTCAAAAAGAAGAAAATTCTGCAATGAATGGAACTTGAGGACATGCTATGTGAAATGAGCCAAAAAAAAAATACCAAGTGATTTCACATATATGAGGTACCCTGAATAGTCAAAACCAAAGAGACAGAAATAGAATGGTGGTTGTCAGTGGCTAGGGTAGAAGGGGAAGGAGAGTTATTGTTTAGTGAGTACAGAATTTCAGTTTTTCAAGATCAAAAGTGTTCTGCAGATAGATGGTAGTGATGGTTGCAAACAATATGAATTTCCTTAACATCACTTAACTTTACACTTAAAAAAGTTAAGATAATAATTTTTATGTTATGAATTTACTACAATTAAAAATTAGAAAAAACAATACCAGTAATTTCAGCATGTTTCCCTTAGTGTAGCACCATCATCAATCCAGTCTCAGTTATATTAAGAAAGAAGACACAGTCTCAATTGTCATAATAAAATGTGTAAAAATTGGTACATTATTGTTAGTTCAAATTGTGTGTAGAGGCATCTAATATGGAGTTACTATTTAATCCCATGTTTTTATTAGATAAAATTTTAGGATCACAAAATATAATCAATTGCTCATTTTATTATTAAATTAACTAGAAGATTAATTTATTATTAAATTATTCAATTATAGTTTAGTTAAAATTCAACTACTCACTGGTATGTACACTTCCAATAATTAAAGTGTTCACTTATGTAAGATTTTTTTTCCCTATGCATTTGTTCTATTTGTGCTAAAATGTAATTTTATGTCTGTTGAACCTAGTCATAAAAAAATAAATTATATATCTATGAGTTTTTAGATACTGTTTGCTAGTAATTTATTTCTGTTATGTATTGCAGAGATATTGGTCAGAAACCTTTTACCACAGACAGTTGATGGAAGACTAAACTAGATGCCTCCTTCCTCCGTTAGCTTTCTAGAGCTGATGATGAATGTTTTTGAGATCTACCTCTTCAGTATCTCTGAAATAACATATTTCCTCCCCATACCAATAATTATTTTTCCTTTTCCCCTGCCCTTCATTCCTTCCTTTAGTTTCCTGACATATTGTAAAATATGCATGTCAAGGAGTATCTGGCTGTTTGAACACCCTTTTAGCTATTTTTTAATGCTTTCGCCAACCAAAACTTCATTATCTGTAATATTTCTACAAAGGGGAATATAGTTTTAGAATCATTAGTCTGATATTTTTAATAGTCAGAAAGGCTCAGTGCATACTCGGTTATCCCATAGGTCTTTGTTTGTTTCTCTACTATAGTTATATACAGGGTATATCTTGTTTTGGAGTTACTTGAAGGCAGAACCAATACCACCATCTTCTGTGTCCTTCCAATTTTAGCAGTAGATTTTATACTGCACAGCAGAATTCATCTCCTCGGTCATTGCTGCAGTCATTTTCTTTTTTCTGTATGATTCTACTTTCTCTTTAAAAATCAACTAAATAATTTCATGAGCTTAATAGAAAGCTCTCCTGATCTTTCCTGAGAATACTGTAATTTTGGGCCTCTCACTTGATCACTTACATCATAATAGCACAAAAATGAAATGTATAATAGTGAAACAACTATCTTTTTTCTTTGTCTGCTTGGTGCTAAATAGTATGCCAAGTGCTTTATTGTACATATTTAGTTTTCAAAAACAGATATTTTGTATTCAAACAAAATGCACCTTTATGTGTGATATATTGTGGCATAGTTTAATGGTTTATTTATTATTCCTTTCCTTATTAGATCTGAGCAACTAGTTGGCAAAAAATTGTATTTCCTTTTTGATTACTCCAGTAGAATGTCACCCCATAACCTAGCAGGTGTTAAAAAATGTTGTAATAAACAATCACCTGCAAAACAACCAAAAAATGTAGTAAAACAAGATTTTTTTCTCTAAAAATATTTTTAGTATTCTATCAGACTTTATTTGCAATTTCACACATGGCATGACTCCTTGAATAAGATTTTTTTGGGGGGTGCTAGTGTTAAAGTCAAATTAGGGACAAGTGGCAGGAATTGACTAAAAGAGCATGAATCTGTAACAATTATAAATGTTAGATTTAATTAATTTCATGTAGTTAGATAAATTATTAAATTATCGTGGCTTGCTGAAGAATTAATTTAAAATCAGTTGGAGTTATCATGTACAAATATCACAATCTTTATCTAAAATATAAAAGATTTCTCATCTAAGTAGTATGTGTAGAATAAATTTCAAAATGCATTTAAAAATCAATATTACATTTTATGTTTAATGCAGGTCAATGACAGGGTATCATAGTGGAATCAAAGGACATTTTCCCCGAAGGTAGCATTGTAATTCTCTATTTCTTAATGCACATTACAGTTCACTGAACTTCTCTATTATCTAATTCTGAAACTCTCCTGCTTCCTGACAAGCAGTTTTGTAGACAGTGAGATTCTCAAGATTGAATAGGATGGAAACCGAATTTCTGATCACCACCCAAGTTTTCCTTTAGCAAGTGATGTCTTCTTTCTTGAGGATCTATGATAGCCTGAAAAAAAAATGATTATTCAAGTTGGTCAAGAAACATTATATGTACAATGAAATTTCTATTCTTTATAAAGGAAAATTGACATCTCGTTCTTATTCCCATTCCTTTGCATTATTGTTGTTTTCCTTTTATGTATTATTATCTGTTGCTTTTATGTTAAATCTCTCTTATACCTGTCCAGCATTTAAAGAATCATGATGACTACAATGACTGGATATTCTCCAAAGTTCACCTCTCCTTTGACCTGAAATCCATGCTAGTAAATGTTTAATGAATACATTCTCAAAAAATACCTAATATATTCTTTTAGTTGGTATTTTGAGATATTTCAGCCCACTTTACAATGCTAACCCTGTATTAATGTTTTAATCTCATTAATTAAATATTTGAAACTTTCATTTTATAAATAGTGTAATTATATGTTTGTTTTTCTTTATACCCTATGAAATAGAAGAAATTCATATGCTATTTTTTTCTGAAAGAGTCATCCAATGTTTGGGATTAGTTGTTAAAATTCATGTTTTCAAGTGTCACACACCCTAACAGAGATTTTTCAATTTCTCTCTCCATGAGTCCCTCTGACAGTCTGGTGAAGACTACGGACCACTTTTTAGAATAATTTTGTAGTATATAAAATATAAGAAGTAAGTTTGAAAATAAAATAAATTATATTAAAATGTACTTGTAAGAATAACCAACCCACAAAATTGGAATAGTATGTGTAGTATATGTTTCCTTATTCATATGATAAAATAAAATATACCAACACATTTAAAAACAACTATACTTTTGAAGTAGTGATGAGTAGAAGTAATGATTTGAGATATCTGCAAAACCTGCAGTATTATATAAAATAACTTTTGAATTCTATTGCTAACAAAGATAAGGCTACATTGACTTGTTGCCCATATTTGTAATGGTAAGAAATAATACATTTCTGTTATTGATTAATGAAAATTATGCTGTAAATCTTCCTATTTTAGCTCACAAACTCTGAATTTTATCCACAGATGACTTTGGGGTCTATGAATCCCTGTAACCACATTTTAATTTTTCCTATGAGAAATTTTATAATGACAAGCATCGAGATTTGTTATGCTTGTTGAACTCTGAGGCAAATGTTTTTACTCCTCTTGTATAATCTATATCTTGTCAATCTTTTAGAATAGTGTGTTTTGAGTCTCATAACTAAGAATTAAAATTAATATTTGTCATTTGTTAGCTGCTTAAAACTAGGCAAGTCGTTTGCATTTGACATGGCTCTCTCACATACTTTTGGAAAAGTTTTGTGAGAATCAGAAATAATAAAATGTAGAATACAAAATTAAAATAATATAAAAATCTCATAGTCCATCTGACAAAATTGTTCCAAATAAACAGTGGATTAGAGAAAAAGATTCAATACAAATCTGAATTTAACCATGTAGCATGTTGTATAGAGCTAACTACTAACTAATTCACTTCTGAATTTATAGAAAGCTACAGAATAAAGGAAAGAACAGAGTATGGGGAGGGAGTCAAAGAGAAGAAGAGGTGATTTGAATAGCAAAAGAACATGAAGATATTTTATTAACTAGTTCCCAAGAGAGATGGGTTTAGTTACAACCAGAAAGCTGAGCCAATATTACCAGAGTAGGACCTTCCTTCTTTTAGTGTGAGAGGAAGCTCTGGGTATGAGTGAGAGATTTGAGACATAGTAAGTGTTCCTTTAGGTGTTACTGACATGAGGTCATTTATCCTGGGTATATAATATATCCTTCTGTCTTCAGGGGATATTGAAGAAGCCTCTTAGCATATATTCAGACTTTTATCAGTGCTAAAATAAGAACATTGTTACTATTAATCAATATAATAATAGCTGATATTTATATAGCATTTCTATATATGGCACTATATTTTGCTGTTTACAAAATCTGTAATCCTTGTGATAAAAATGAGATAGGTATTGTCTTAATCCATCTGTGCTGCTCTACTAGAACATGTAAATCTCAGTATCCTACAAAAGACAGAAATGTATTCTCTACAGTTCTAGAGGCTGGGAAATCCAAGACCAAGGCATCTGGAGAGGGCTTTCTCCTGTCTTCACATGACAAAAGGGCAACAGAGAACAAACTACCTTGTGAAACCCCTTTATAAGGACACCTAATCCCTTTCATGAAGAAGAAACTCTAATGGTCTAATCTCCTCTTAAAGGTCTTACCCCTTAATACTACCAAATTGGCAACACCTAAATTTTTCAGAGGACATATTCAAATATAGCCTGCACCCTTTACATTCCTATTGTAGATAAGATAATTGTGACAGAGATGAATTAAATATTCCCTAAAGTCACTTTGTATCAAAATATGCAAAGTACCCAAGCCTTCAAAATCTTTATTACACAGTGAAGAACAGAGGCAGTCATACAGAATATTTTATGTATATCTCTTATTTATAAGTTTTTTTGTGCACCACCTCGCAACCTCTCTTAAAATATTGCCCTATAACTGTTGTTAAACATATAAAACTGTATACAACATGAACCTTGGCCTGGAATTGATTGCACTTTAGTAGATTACATAAGACACATATGTAAGTAGATATAGCAAAATGCAGAAATAAATATTTTGCAACAAGTAATAATAAAGGTAAAATAACATTTAACATTCCAAATTGCATAGTGGCCTACTATCCTCCTTTTAAATTTTGCATGTGATTTTATTCAAGTATTAATATTGAATGTACATTAAAAATCAAGCAAAGCATGGGAATTTGTGAACATATGGAGAATTTGTCAACAGTGACAAGATTGATGATGAGAATAATTCATGAACTGCTCTGAAGTTTAACTCTTGCTCTGAATCTATTTTGTAAGGCATTACTATTAACATAAATAAAATCTAAAGACAGCATTCCATAATTAAACACTCAGTGGATTAAAAAATGAGGAAGTTGATACCATTTGCATTTGTCTTCAGGAACACCTGCATTTATTTCTAGGATCTTTTAGTAAAGAAGGAATGCAGCTGCTAATGTTGTGACTAATAAAAACCACGAAATTAAAGTCTCATTATATTTTTCCTACATTATATATTTCCACTACTCTAAACAGAAAAGAGACTTGCCTAGGGTTCAGGATTAAGATCATATATCATTTTGAATAGTAATTAACTTTTAGGAAAAATATAAGTTTGGCCATTTTTACCTGACAATGCCTTTAATGTTGGAATGTAAGCAGGACTGCTTAATGATGAGCAATACGGATTCTATACTTATAACACAGGTAAATTCAACAATTCTCTGTAGGATGGAAAATTTAAGCATGCGCTCATGCACGAAGGCATAGAAATTATTAACTGGTTGGTTTTTGCACATCATATTAGGAAATTAAGGGGAAGAAAACTTTATGTGTACTTTCATATGCTCACCAAATTTTGAATTATTTATAAAATTATTTGTTGATTTTAAAATTTAAGGAAGAAACATATATTTGGTTTATTATGCCTCCAAATTTAAAAGTTTAAGCATATGAAAAATTAAAGTAAAAATATTTTTAAAATGTACATTTTTCTCATTATGTGACAATTTAAAAGACAAGTTAGTTAACAACAAACAAGTTGATACTGAGGGAAGGGGAAGATATCTGCTATTATTATTTTAGTCGACATTGAGCCGGAAGTAATAGAAAGTCTAGTCGGCTGGAAAAAATAAATGACATTTATAGTGAAAAAGAAATTATCTTCTTCCCAATCATCAGTAGAATCTTTTTTCCTATGTCCTTCTTTTCCACTCCTAACTTACACGCTGTTCCTGTTTTCTTACTTTTACTCAAAAACTAAACTTAACTATGTATTTTCCATTAATTTTTATTTAGAATTTCCCACATATTTATAAACTCAGATATTTCATTTGGTTTTATTTTCATTTTTCTTTAAGAATACCTTTTAAAATTTCCATTAATGTGAATTGTACAGCTTTTCTTCATTCTACTTCTTACAATTCGAAAACGTGTTTGTATTGCTACTAATCCTGAAATATTATTTGCTCATTTATATTTCCAGGCTGAAAGTTATTTTTACTCAGCACATGGAAGACAGCATTTGATTGACTTTTGACATGCACTTTTTATTTATAAGGAAATTATAAGCCTAAAAACTATTTGTATGTAATTCATCTTCTGTCTCTGTTCTTTTAAGTCTTTTTATATTGTCTACATATCCTCATAACTTACTGAGTTCTGAAAATTCTAATTGGTTCATTTTGAAAACTGATTGTTATTTCAAAAACTGTGTGCATTCTTTTTTTTATTTTTAGGCATATTGTTATTTAAGCATATAAAATGTAATTAATTTCTGTCCATTATCTCATTAGCCCAGTATCTTCTAATTTTGCCTGATGATTTTTGCTCCTATTTTTGTTCTTGTTGTTGTTGTTTTGTTTTGTTTTTCTCTTGCTTTTGCTCATGGTGCTTTGCATTCTTACCTGGTTTTTAATTTTTGACTGTGAATTATTAAAGTTTTGAGATATTTGAACTAGGTAGAATTTCAGTTCTCCGGTCAGAATTTGCCTTTTTTCTCTGTCATTTCCCAAGGTTTTACCAAGAGGACATCACTTTAAATTCTCCACTTATTTGATTTTATCTTTCAAATACATAGAGAAAATCCAACTATAAACTCTGTGAAGAAAATCAACTTGTTATTACAATTTATCAAGGACCTTCTTTCCCCTACCCACTTACCACCAAATCTAAGAAAATAAGAAAATTGTTTTATTTATTTTTCTCCTTTATACCGCTTTACTTTTGGTGTGCTAGTTCTGTATTGGAGTCTTTTCTTAAACTTCTAACTTATTTGTTAATTACCTCTCATCATGTGTTTTTCAAAACTAAGCTCAGGCTCACCCATTGTGGACATGTACCTTTCAGATAAAATGCAGTTTTAGTACTAGTCTATATCTCAATAATCTCATTTACTATTTTGTCTCTGCACAGTTTTTACTCTTTTGCAGTCATGCATTTAAAATATTCACAGATATGTATATATGCACATATATATATATTGCAGTATTTTATAGACTTTAATTAGGCTAAGTAATCACGGTATCTATGATTATACATTTTAAATAATATAAAATTAGTATTTTAATGAATTCCTCAGATATTGTTTAAACTCCTTATTTGTATACCTTATTATAATTTATATTTTCATCTTAATTATGTGAATAACAAGTGCAAAGACAAATACATACAAGCACAGGGAAATACAAACATTTCTACTATATTTGATAAAAGTGGATTCTTGTAAATAACATTTGTATTCATAAATAAATTAACTACATTGAATCATGTCTTCTCTTGGTATCAATTTTTTGGCAAACAAATAGTAAGATGAAAACATCTCTGTAATATATCAAACTTAGAGCAATAAAATAATAAAGATGTTAAAATGAATTGTTGAAAATGACTCCAAAAAAGCAAGAAAGGGCAGTGATTTGATAATCTGCTGGCATTACTTCTAATCAGACACTATCAATCAGTGTTAACAAAACACAAGACTTTGAAAATAACAGTCTTTCATAGGAAAAAAAAGAATTCATAATTACTTTTCATCCTTTTTTTGTCTTTGAAATTTCAAAGCATATCCTCTAATGTCAAAATATGTTTTAAATAATAATAAAGATATAACTACTACTTATGAATATACCATTTCAAATTTTAATCATGCCAGTCTCTCCAACAAATTTTTAATGAATATCTTCCTCTTATTTAAAATATAATTATTTTCTGTTCATTATCTCATTAGTTCAATATCTTCTGATTCTGCCTGGTGTTTCTTGCTCCTATTTTTGTTCTTGTTTTTTTGTTGTTGTTGTTTTGTTTTGTTTTTCTCTGGCTCTTGCTCATGGTGCTTTGCATTCTTACCTGTTTTTAAATTTTTGACTGTGAATTATTAAAATTTGAGAGAAATTAAGTAAGATACTGCGGTGTCTTACCATTAAAAAAGGTAAAATTTTGAAGTATTGATAAAAACATTGTACTACATTAATATAATAACGTATTATTTTTGATCTATTCTTAAAATAATGTGCTTGTCACTTAATTTATACCTACATCAACAGTAATAGGAGTTTTGAGAAAAGAAAACTGAAAAATCACTCTTTATGCAAGCATAAGGAAAATAACTATTTCATATATGGTAGATATCTTCATTTTTTATTCATTACATTTAAAATTGAGAATGTAGTTTAATAGACATACTAAGTGTTCTTAAATACAGGCACTGAAAGTAACACCGATTTATCAAAGAGACTGCAATTCTTGAGGGGAAATGGTTTAAAATTTGTACGGGTTTATACTAAATATGGTCTAGTATACATTTACTTTTGAGAAAATATAGTTGACATTTTTAAAAAAAACTTAAGATGAACCAGTTGTTTTAAGAAAATTAACTCAGTAATTACAAGAAAATGAAATGACGTTTTGATACTTTTAACAGAGTTCCAGTCAAAAAGATAAACTATTCTATATTAAACTAACAATAATAGAGTTTAAAAAGGTATGAAAATTCTCTAGGTAGATGATTGATTTCAAATAGTAGATGCCTGAGATAGTCAAAGTGATAATAAAGTATAAGAGCTGATTATCTTATGGCATTGCCTATATTTACATAGAACTAAGCTAAAAGTAAAGTTAAATAATTACTCCAGTAGTTTAAATAGTGAATTATTTTAATCTAAAATCACATAAAATATTGTAGTGTTAAATTACCTTTCAGCTTTATTGAAATTGATTTGTTATTTAAGAGATAACCACCCATGACTATTTTAAACAAAATTCATGTAGATAATGTCAGTGAAGCTGATGAGGCAAGGAAAAAAATAAAAACGGAAAAAAATGTCAGAGTTTAAATTTCTGGAAAGAAACTTAGCTGTATATTAGTTTTATCTCGATCTTTTTTTATGTGATATGTTTTGGGTGTCTGTTCCCTGCAAATCTCAAGTTGAAATGTAATCCCCAGTGTTGGATGTGGGACCTGGTGGGAGGTGTTTGGCTCCTGGGGGTGGATCCCTCATAAATGCCTTGGTGCCCTCCTTACGATAATGAGTGAGTTCTTGCGCTGGGTGCACACAGGATCTGGTTGTTTAAAGAAGTGTGGCGCCTCCTGTTCATATCCTTCGCCTACTCTACTATAAAGACACATGCACACATATGTTCATTGCAGCACTGTTCACAAATCAAACACTTGGAAACAACGCAAATGCCCTTCAATGATAGACTGGATAAAGAAAATGTGGCACATATACACCATAGAATACTATGCAGTCATAAAAAGGGATGAGTTTATGTCCTTTGCAGGGACATGGATGAAGGTGGAAACCATCATTCTCAGCAAACTAACACAAGAACAGAAAACCAAACACTGCATGTTCTCACTCATAAGTGGGAGTTGAACAATGAGAACACATGGACACACGGAGGGGAACATCACACACCAGGGCCTGTGGAGGTGTTGGGAGGGCGGGTTGGGGGAGGGAAAGCATTAGGAGAAATACCTAATGTAGATGACGGGTTGATGGGTGCAGCAAACCACCATGGCATGTGTATACATATGTAACAAAACTGCACGTTCTGCACATGTGTCCCAGAACTTAAAGTATAATAATTTTTTTAAGTGTGACACCTCCTGACTCTCTTGCTCCTGCTCTTGCCAAGTGGCATGCAACTCCCCGTCACCTCCTGCCATGATTGTAAGCTTCCAGAGGTCTAACCAGAAGCAGGTGCCAGCACCATACTTTTTGTAAAGCCTGCAGAAATGTGAATAAATTAAAATTGTTTTCTTTATAAATTACCCAGCCCCAGGTATTTCATTATAACAACACAAGAATGGCCTAATACAGAATGCTGTTATTTGCATGCATTTTGATTAATTTGTTGTTAACAAAATAAATAAAATAACTGGATACATGTTAACTCTTTAACATTCATAGACTTATGAAATGGAGCTTTTTCTAAGAAGTATTAGTGGTTTTATTCTAAAAAAAAATGACATGCTGCCATAAAACATAGCTCAACTGAATTAATTACTTAATTTTGAGCTCCCTTTAACAAATGAAACCAAAATAGTAAAATCCTTGGGTTACAGGTATTTTAAACTAGAACTTTGTTTGCATCTGCTTGATTTCCACTTCAAGGCCTTCTTGACAGATTTTGCATTAATAGACTAACCTAATAATAACCCCAAACCAATGTGCCTTTGAAATTAATCACAGGAGGACCGAATTCCAATGACTAAAACTGGCACAGAATAACCACTCTTGTACACTGGTTTTAAAATGAAACAGGAGGTTTAATTTTGAACTTTGCATGGCATGAGAAAGCTTTCCTCTTTTAAAATCACTTTTTGATGTAAACTTCCATTGAATTAGTATTTTTGATAAGTTCCCTTTACATTCACTTTGCTTATCTGCACATATGTGTATTCTGTTTATCTAGGAGGATAATTTCAGAACCAATCACATTGTGGTTCAGCACCAGTTTTCTTAATAAAAACTTAATATATCACATTACATTCCCAGCACACTCTAATTAAATTCCTTTTCATTTCAGTCTGTCTCAGAGGGTTAGAGAAGCTCAAGAATATTTAACAAAATTCAACAAAGCAACTACCTGAAGTTGATACATTAACCTTGGCACTGAAAGCTACTTTATTCAAACCACGTATGCCAGAAACATCATTATACAATGACCTAAAAACGACAGTATTTCACTCTAACTGGAGAGCCTGTAAATGAATAACGATCATTTCTGACTCATTATATGTATAATGTATTTTGCCCTGGGAAGTTTTAAAGGAAAAACAAACATCAGCAACAGTAAAATCTGTCATACCTGGATGTGAAACCTGAAACATCAGAATGTTTTCTTGATCCTAAAGAGAATAGATAGAACTTAATGGTTTTTAATGTGATCATTTCCAGTAACAAATGCATATATATATATATAGATAGATAGATGAGATATATACATATATCTCCTATTTTTCCTCTCGGATTCTAGAATGGAAGCGTAATTTTAGAGAAGATAATCTTTCCTATGAAATATTCACTTGAGACTGATTATAATTTTCCAATAAAAATAACTCATTGCCATGGGCAGTGAGGCTAAAGGAGAGGTCTCCCTCTTTAATTGATTCTAGAGGGTCATGGAGTCCTCCTCTATAACAATCACACCTATACAGGCCTATATACCCACTATGGTTGATCCAAACATCTTGTGGTGACATATATTTCACATTTGCAATTTTTCACATTTCAGTAACGTAGTATCATACTTATATGTAGTATATTGTGTAGCAGTCCTTGACCAAACATACTCGGTTTTTACAGTGAGACAAAAATATCTATATAAGATTAGGTAAACAATGACCATACATAAAGTTATGTCAGTTCTATCCAATAGTTTTATGTAGGGTCAGGTTTTGCTGTCAACTGAGTTGCAAATTCTTTCAATCTCCAGAGCTTTTTGATTTTGTAGTATTTGATTAGGAACTATGAAACATGGCCACTTTTTGAAAACCACTTATACTTTCTATTCAGGTGACAGTCTGCCCACCTTCATTACCCTGACCATTTTATGTACTCCGTTAATGTGAAGCACATTTAATTTGTATCATGAAAAATTAAAGCACTAAAAGAGGTGTTTCAACATCCCACAAGGCTGAATGAGTCAGACACTAAGTGCACAGTGCACAGGTTTGCATGCATTAGTTAGAATCCTTTTTTATTCATTTGTTTTTAATCACCTAGTCAGTTCATTTGGTTTGTCTGCTGAAGCCCCTGAAAATTTCCAGTTATGTTTTTGTTCTGACAGTGACTGAAGCAGCTATCCTACATACATCTTTGTATGGAAATGAACTGTTTCCCCTTTTCCTCTCCCCACCACCAACTTTCAAGTGTTGCTTTCCTTTAACTTCAAAGTTGTCTGCATAACAGCTGATCCTCATCATCTCTCCTTGCTCTGCCATAGGCTGTGACAATTATTTTGCTGGCTGGCTTAACCCTAGACTGCTTTAACATGATTCTATTTGGCCATGGAATTCTTAAAAAAAGAAGAGCAGAAGGGGATAAAAGAATAAACATTCTCAAATTTTTTAGCATTCATGGATCAGAATGTTAGTCTATCAGCTGTATCAATGGTTTTGAACAGTAGAATGGCAAAAGGCACCTCTGCTTTACAGGAGATAAAACGGCAGGTGTTTGAATGAGTTAAGCACTTCTTAGCGTGGTAACAAAAATAATGGTCTGGACACTGTTGACATACTTGATGCACAGCAAGTAGAATACATGATCCAAATTCTAGTGATAGGAATACAAAGAACACTTAGATCAAGAAAGAAGTGAGAAAAGGTGAAAATCTCAGTTATGGTCCCAGTTCTATTTGGGGTGAAGAAATACAGATATACATTGGGGAGCATCTGCCCAAAATCAATGGTTAAAGCAATGAAGCAGCAAAATCGTTCAATATAGAGTTCTCTAAAGGCATAGGAGAAAGCTGATAAAAGATGTGGCTAATAAGACACATTTGAACAAAGAGTATAGATTTCCCAAGACAGCAACTCAAACTGAAAACATATACAGTTAAGTGCTTTGAGAGAAAAGTGATTATTTTTCTTTTAATGAAGCCTATTTCCCATTAATATTTTCCTTATTATTTATTTGATTATACAGATACTTTATACATGTATAAGTGTTTTGTGTCTTCTGTAAAGTACATACCATTATACCAGTCTGAAATTTTTAAAGTATAAGTAGAAAAGCTTGACTTATAAGCAGATGTAGTTAATATGGATAGTTGTGAAATCTACAAGAATTACAGATTCTATACTCCTATATAATCTATATTGCCAAGACAAGCTAGGTCGGAGATACCCTAACCCAGTGGCGCTAGAGGAATTAAAGACATACACACAGAAATATAGAGGTGTGAAGTGGGAAATCAGGGGTCTCACAGCCTTCAGAGCTGAGAGCCCCAAACAGAGATTTACCCATATATTTATTAACAGCAAACTAGTCATTAGCATTGTTTCTATAGATATTAAATTAACTAAAAGTATCCCTTTTGGGAAACGAAGGGATGGGCTGAATTAAAGGAATAGGTTGGGCTAGTTACCTGCAGCAGGAACATGTCCTTAAGGCGTAAATCACTCATGCTATTGTTTGTGGCTTAAGAATGCCTTTAAGTGGTTTTCTGCCCCGGGCAGGCCAGGTGTTCCTTGCCCCCATTCCCGTAAACCCACAACCTTCCAGCTTGAGCATTAGAGCCATTATGAACATGTTACAGTGCTGCAGCAATTTTGTTTATGGCCAGTCTTGGAGCCAGTTTATGGCCAGATTTTGGGGGGCTTGCTTCCAACACTATATAGAATTAATATATTCTATATTCCTATAGAGTCTATTCCTCTGGTGTCCATATTTACAGTGACTAAAATTTATTGAAGAGAAATCAGTATTACACTCTGATGGACTGGCTGAATGTCACAAGAGAAATGCTAAGTCAGCAGACTATGGTCATCTTTGCTTAAGAAATAGAGCCTTTGGCTGACACGGCACAAATAATTAGGTGGTCATGAGACATAATTAGATAAATAATCAACAATACCACTACTGAGAATAATTTGATGGATATATTGATGGGACAGATGTTGGAGAAAGATGAGAGAGATTGGAGATAAGGAAGATGTAAAGTAATAAATCACTTTTTAATATAAAACACATATTTATATACTGTGTCACCATAAAAATGTTAGGCTACAACTGAGTATTCACTTCCATGAGAGGCATAAAGACACTAGTAGGGATAAGGTGAGTATTTCTTCTTATGTTGTCTCTGGCTTACTACAAAGGAAGAAAGCTAATGACATTAAGTATGTTCTTAATACTACTTTTCCAGAATTTTATTTTAATGACAATAATTCTGTTCCTTGTAGTGACATGAAACTTATTTAATTTATATTCAGTTATAACCCAGGGTTCACATAAGAGAATTTAAAATGTCTTTACTTTGAAATTAAGTCTGGGCTATTTAAAAAATACATATTTCTTCATTAAGCAATTGGATGAAATGTTTTGCACTTTTTTACCTAACAGCCCAAGTGTTATCATAGTCTTATAATTAGCGCCCATCTTTCCTCTAATCCAGTGGTTCTTAATATGTGATCTGAGGATCTCTGGAGGTACCTGTATTCTCTGTTTCCATGAAGTATCTGTGTAGAGTCCAAATTTTCCTGGTACACTTCACCCAAAACATTGTATAGCAACACATTTAATGCAGAGGAAATAAGAGCATGTAATGATCTTATATTAAGCTGTTTATTCTAGAGAGTTCAAAAATGTAAAACAATGTCACTCACCTCAGTACATTTTCTTTTGTTTGAAAAATATGTTGTATTTTATCAAAATATGCTAATTAACATGTAGTTAATTTTTGTTATTTTTAAATTAGTAAATAAATAATTATTTCAATTTTCTCTCCATTTTAATTTCCAATTTGTAAATCTAAAGAAATATAATTCACATAAACAAAGCCACTGCTAGGTCTTCAATAATTTTTAAGAGTATAAATGGTCCTGGAATGAACTCATTTGAGGACTGCTATTGCTGTAATCCAAGCTGGACATCATCAACAGAGTGGTGTAACCTCATCATGCTGATAAGTCTCCTGTGGCCCACTACGTATTTCAAGAGTGTCTTTCAATATGCTTACCTGGGTATCTACTGGTAAATCCAAACCCTATTTTCTTTGCCTATGCAATCCAAAATTATAAGACAATCTTTAATTTTTAAATTTAAATTCAAAACATCTTCAATTTTTAAAAGCTATTAGTACCAACACCACTTCACTGTCCCTAGTTTACTGAATCCCTGGCAGATTTTTCTTTGTTCACATCACCTGTGGTGCCCATATTTACAGTGACTATAATTTTTTAAGTTATTTATACATCAAGTAATACAATTTATTCTTTTAATTTCCTTTAAGTTCTTTATACATTTCAGGACACAACACTCTAAGTTAGAAATATAAATAGAGTAAATATTCCAAAAAGGTATTAATCCACTATCATGATAGGTAGATTTTTATTTTCTTGCGTGAAACTTTCTTTAATGAGGATCTAAATTGAGCTTCTGTATAATGTTAGCCTGCATCATCAAGGTACCTTCATGGCAATGCATCAGTTGAATTCAGTTGCAATTTGAAAATGTGTGTGTTCACTGGAGCATTTACAATAACGCACAGCATAGGCTAATTTATTTGAATAAAATCAAACTAAGTCTCAATTAAGAGGAAAAGAACACAACTAATAGTTTTCTGGAGTCCTCAGAGTGACAATAGATCAGACTCTATGAAGACATTATGGTCATACATTTCTACCCCAAATTTAAGGGAATAAAATGCTCCTTTAATTCATTCTCAGTTAATTTTTTTTAGTTTTATGTATTTCTCTTCTTAAAGTGAATTTTAACTTATCAGACTTCTGAGAAGTTACTTTTTAACTTCGGTTGACTTCAAAGTTGTTATTTTAATGAGATACTGTTCAAGCTGTCCTATTAATAATTATTTCCCACATCAGTTTGTATTTCTTGATGCATTGTTTATTTATGCAGCTCAACCCTAGCTCACTCCCCTGAAAGCTAAATAGCTTTTAAGTAAATCTGAAAAAACAATTTTAATTGTTCTATGTGATCTTTTATAAATGCCTACAATATTTCATATAACTTTCTTTTAAAAATTTAGATTCAGGTTGGTCCTAAGCACAAATGTGCCTTATTTATAATTTTTTAAATAATTATGTATAAATGTTCTGGGTATTACCTCCTGATTTGATATATCTCATATGATATTTGTAACTGAACAATGCCCCAAAGGAGCTTATATAAGTATGTTGGAATTATTCAAAAAGAAGTTTGGTCAAGACTTGTAATTTTAATCAAATGGCTTTGGGGTGGAGATAAGAGAAAGGAAGGGGAAAAACAAATTCATGTCATACAATTTCAGTAATTATGGCAACAGTAGATAATAGTTTAGCCTAAAGATAAGGAAATATGGAAGAATCTTTTTTCTTTAGTTCCTACTGCTAAAAAAAGTCAACAAGTCAAATTTTTAGTAAAAATTATCTGTTAGAATTATCTATGTACTAGATATTTTGAAGTTTATAAAGTATAACTAGATAAACAGTTTTTACATTGATCACAATGAAAAGGCAAGAAAGATCAAAAGTATACATACACTAGCATTAAATATATTTCAAGATACATATAATAAGTAAGCATATAGGCCTTATTCATTTGAAGTTTTTCTAAAACAATGTAAGCCAGAGTAAACCTCTTAAAGAATATAGGGAAGATAATTTCTTCTTAAATATGCATTCGAGAGCAGTTGCTTAAATATAAAATTAATTTTCTCCCATCTCATTACTTAACTTCAACTAGAACAAAGTCCTTATCAGGGTGCATCTCTTTTGAAGATAAACAGTGGGCCAGAGGGCCCCTGTTCTCCCTGTATAACCGACAGCTCTTTCAATCTTTATGTTGCAGAGGGCCAGTTCACTCTTTATAGAATAAATTCTGGCCTAATTAATACAAAATTTATTAAATAACTGGTTCAGAAACAAAAATAATAACATGTACAATCTGTTAACCTTCTACTTAAGCATGGACATTTAGTATATGTAAAATCAAATCTATAATCAAGGTAGTAATAAAAAAAGAATATTTTATATTTTTCCAACACTTTTGCATTTTAACCTTAACAAATAATTAGAGTCATATGTTACTAAGATTCTATAACTTTCAACAATATTCTCCTAATATTTGCTTACTTTTATTTCTTCTTTTTTTTTTTTTTTTCAGAAGGAGTTTCCTTCTTGTTGTCCAGGCTAGAGAGCAATGGAGCGATCTCTGCTCGCTGTAACCTCCTCCTCCCACGTTCAAGTGATTCTCCTGTCTCAGCCTCCTGAGTAGCTAGGAATACAGGTGCCTGCCACCACACCTGGTTAATTTTTGTATTTTTAGTAGAGACGTGGTTTCACCATCTTGGCCGGGTGTGGTGGCTCACACCTGTAATCCCAGCAGTTTGGGAGGCTGAGGCGGGTAGATCACCTGAGGTCAGGAGTTCGAGACCAGCCTGGCCAACATGGTGAAACCCCGTGTCTACTAAAAATACCGTGCCTGGTGGCGGGTGCCTGTAATCCCAGCTACCCGGGAGGCTGAGGCAGGAGAATCGCTTGAATTCGGGAGGCAGAGGTTGCAGTGAGGCAAGATTGTGCCATTACACTCCAGCCTGGGTGAAAAAAGCAAAACTCTATCTCAAAATAAATAAATAAATACATAAATTTGAAATAAATAATGGAGTAAAAATCTTATGTAAATATTTCTAATTTGCTATTATTCTTGAAAACATCAGGTGCAGAGAGATATGAAAGTCAATATGCATGTCAATTAACATTAACATAGATTATATACTCTATATTCTGCTTAACTAGAGTCAATTGGGAGGCACCTACCTGTATATTTACTTCCACATTTTTTTCCACATAACCTTTAATGGAAATCAATGAACATTATTAATTTTTATAACTTTCAATAAACATTTAATAGAATAATTTTATTAAGTTACACAGAGATAGTACTTTTATGTATTTATTTCAGATTGCTATTTATAAATAAAATATAGAATTACATGAATAAGAAGCGAAGTTGCTTGGGGAAAAGAAAAGATTTAGGTCACTACTGATGGCTGTTAATTAATGTTTAGAGTTTATAATATAATTAAAATTTTATTTAAAAATGGTTAGCAGTCTGTTTACATGGAAATCGAGATTCATTTTTGAAATTACTAGAATAAATTACTAGAGAAAAAATAAAGGATGTGTCTAGAATTATGTATATATCTCACTACTTTTTTAGTACATACATGTATATAAATTGCTTTATTTGTAAATTATATATTTTCAAAAGAAAATTCTTATTTATTCATCAGAAATAGAAGATCTTTCAAAAATTTCTTTTTTGCAGAAAAACCTGTAGACTGTACAAGGATATGATATGTGTGACAGGAGGGAGATAATCTGTTTTGAAATTGAAAAGTTTACTGCAATTGAAATAAAGGAATTTAGAAAATTGTTGCGAAAGGCAGACACTATAGCCTTTAGACGTATGCCCCATGAGGTTAGCCAGTGAAAATAAAAATAATAATTAGTTTGGATATATGGGAAGAAAGGAAAAGAGCACTCTTCTAATTTGTCGAAGAGTTCCACATTGGTAATTAAGAACATAAAAAGCTCATGCTAAGTGGAAGTTTTAGCTTTCCAGTGTCTACTAATTTTATGTTCCCATGGAAATGCTTTGTAATGACAATTTTCTCTCAAAATTCTCATACTTTTTGAACCAATAGCTTTTATAGTATATAATAACATAAAAATTCCCAACAGATTGTCAATCATTGAGAGCATGTATAATATAGGGATACATATGTGTGTGCATATGTATATACATATACATATATACACACCTCTATGTGTCTAGTGAAAGTTTTTGTACATATTAGATGCCAAATAATCTTCAACCTATATTGAACTTCATAATACATTCATGATAGACAAGATCTCTGTTATTCCTTTCACATTCACAGATCACATGGTGGTCCATGTAGTTTGGTTAGTCAGGACTTTAGTTTTCAGTAATAAAAAGGCAGTTAAAACCAGTTCAAGAAAAAAAAATATTTTGCAGCTCGCATAACTTTGAAATCAAAGGGAAAGCTCTTGCTTTAGGCATGACTGGGTCCAGGAGTTAAAAAGATATCATCTGTTGTCTGTATCTTTCTTGTTCACTTTGATCCATTTTATATATTTTTTTCACTTAATTCTCAGGCAGGGGTTTTTCACATGTTGCCTTTACTATAGACAACGGCAATGCAAGTATCAATGCGTTCTCAGTTATATCCATCTCAAAAAGAGAGATTTCTTCCTTCCTAGAATCAGTAATAAAACCATAAAAAGGATCCTTACTATCTATGTTTGTGTAGCCGTTAATGTGATCAGTACATCCAGGAGGAGTGGGATATCATTGTCTATGCTGGGTCATTCACCTACAAAAATGAATGCAGGGCAATGATAGCATTGACAGCATCAGATGAGGGAAAGGGAAGATTCTGAAAAGGGAAAAAGAAGTATTAAAGTGTCAAGAAATAATAAAAGTACATTACACAGTCTAGTTTCAATTGTTGATCTATTATTCCCATATTATTAATAGAATTTGATCAACTATATTTTTGTTTTTATATTTCTTCCATGTGAGCATAGTTGTCTTACATATCAATTGCTGCATAACTACCCAGCCAAAATTTAGTTGTTTAAAATGTAAATTTTCATTTACTTATGATTTTGTGGAAGGGCCCAGCTGGTGGTGCATATCTGATTCATGTGACAGGAGATGGAGTGTCTGCCACTGGAGGATTCATTTCCACATGGTTTCCTCACTTACACATCTGATCTAAGTGCCCTGTCCTCTTCCTTTCTCTGTATTTCATCTCTGTCCTCTTCCTTTCTCTGTATTTCATCTCATTTTCTAAGGGATGCATGAGACTTGGGCTTTTTTTCTGTGGTCTGTTTGTCTCAGGGTAATTGTACTTACTGTAGGGTACCTAGGAAATAAGGCCACCAGGTCATTTAAAGTGATACTGGTCCAGCATCTCTTCTGAAATACTTTATTGGTTCACATTCAAGTGAATGAAGAAATAGACTCTATCTCTTGATAAGAAAGAGACAAGTTCACGTTGCAGAATATGTAAGAAGAAAGATATAGTGATGTTCTCTAGAAATAAGAGTCGGCTACAATGGGCAACTTAAATACCTCATTATTGATCAAAGATCAAATATGTCCAGTTCTATGAAAATAAAATTATATAAAACCTCTATAATTCTATAGTTTTTGTTTGTTTGTTTGTTTGCTTTGCTTTGAAAGGGTTTTTCTCTACCCAGACTAAAGTAAAGTGGAGCAATCAAGGCTCACTACAGCCTTGACATCTCGGGCTCAAGCAATCTTCCCATGTCAGCCTTCCCAGTGGCTGGGACTACAGAAGCATACCACAATGCCTGGCTAAACTTTTTATTTTTTGTAGAGATGGGGTCTCACTATGTTGCCCAGGCTGGTCTCGAACTTCTAGGCTCAAGTGATCCTTTCTCCTTGGCCAACCACAGTGTTGAGTTTACAGTCTTGAGCCACCACACCTGGCCTATAATCTATTTAGTTAGGAATATCAGAATTTGAGGACACATAATTCGGATTATCATTGTATCAGCAAGAGTTACACAGCTAATTATTATCTTAATTATTAAAATTATTAATTATGTGTCTATTTCTTTTATAAAACAAATAATCAGTGCTCTGTGTCAAAAGTTGATTACTGATTAACACTATGTTAACACACAAATTTCTCGATTGCCTTTAAAAGGCAGCTATTTACAAAGATCTCACACTGTGTGATTAGAGATCCACCTACCTTAATGACAACTTTTTTAAAATGTACACATGCATAACATAAATCATAATTTATTTTAAAAAGCATAATATAATAGGTATAGGTATTTTTGAACAAAAAACACTCCAAAAATATGAATTTCACCCTATACCTATTATTATTGTTACTGTCATACGACAATATTTAATGTATTTTATTTAGGGGAACTTAAATGATTACATCTGATATGCTATAGAATTCCAGTATGATTTCTAAAATATTATGATTTATTATTTTTGCTTCTGTTTTTATTAGAACCGTTAAAATCTAAGTTAAAGAGGCAACCTAAGACAATATTTTAAAATACATGCTTAAAATTTATAAATATTAAAAACTAAAAAGTTACTGCATTTTCAGAGAAATGTTTTGTGTACCAAACACATAAAAACTAATAGGACCGTACCTATGTTTCTCAATGTACTTACCACTTTTTCTGAAGTTGGTCAAAGTGTTATCTGGCCTTGCGTTGTAGGAACAGCACAATCTAAGCATGTCTCTTACCAAACATTGAGAATCTGCAGGACTGTTGGCCCTAAAAAACTTGTGAAGGAGATTGAGTGGTCACAGCAGTGTTTCTTTCAAGCTTCCAAGTCATGTAGCAAGTAGATTATTACAAAAGGGTCTATAAATAATTTTTAAAAACCTGTGGTAATTCACAAAATGAATAGGACAGATAAAATATTGGTATTGAAACTATTTGTAAAATGTAAGATGCAAAAATTTATTACTGGCAGTCATTCTCATTTTAAAAGTATCATATCAGATAAATTAAAAGTGTCTCTATCACTGACACTTTCCATTAGAAAAATGTTGGAAATTACTGTAAATTATTTAAGATGCTAGCTAACTGTAATTATTTTCTTGCCTGGAATAACTATATGTATTAAAAATTGTGTGAGTAAAATGAATATATTTTATGTCTAGCATAGACTCTTATAAAACAAATATAAATATTGTGAATTCATTGAATTTTTCTCTTTAGCGTAATTGAATTTATGACTTACTTTAAATTTATGACTTACCTTAAAATGCTATAAATTAAATAAATACTTTAAAATTACATTTGTTGAACATTTCAATTTATGTGAGACTTCTTACAGGACTATTTTAAAATATTGTGCAATGTTCAAATTCACCAGTAAATTGTGAAATAAGGATAAAATTTAAATTTAAATACATACGTTGATTATCAAATTGGAACAACCTTTAAGATGATGCTACTTAGTACTATCAAGGGGTTAAGTTAAATTCAAAGTCAGTCCAATGTTTATAGAGAACAATGCATTCAGACATATTTGCCAAAACATGCCAATGTATTTGGAGAATAGATGGATCAAATATGTCACATTTTTTATCACATGACTCAGAAATACTGTCAGTTTTGATCTAAAAGAAATAAATAAAACTAGATACTGATTTAGGCAAAAAAGTTCAGTGTTTATTAAAACAAAACAAATGCATGAGGTTAGATCCTTAAACCTAAATAAATAAATGAAATGAAAATTCTATTCACGAGGTAATAATTAATGTAAGGGAGAATATAAATTTTATGAAATGTTGATTTCAAAAATCTAGATAAATTTATCTATCTATTTGGCTATCAGTCTGTGTGTGTGTGTGCGCGCGCTTAGTTACTTGCTCATTTGAATATGTCATTTTTGCCAAGAGATTGACACAATTCATTGGTGACATTTAAGAAATGTAAAAGACTGGAAAGAAGTCAAGAGATAAGTACATATTATAAATTCTGAGAGAAGTGCTATATACTACATGGTGTATTTCATGTAATTAGAGATGTGGAAACCGGAGGCATGAGAATGTTCTAGGAATACAATAAAAATACAGAACATTCTCCCAAACTTTAAAAGAAAAACTAAAAATTTCTTTTAAAAGCATTAAATAATGAAATACAAATTTAATGATAAATATCTAAATAGAGACGGCAATTAGAAATCTGGAATCATGTTTCAAAAATTTCTTAAAATATCAAAGCCCAGAATTAGTTTTCTTTTACCATATGCATGCACTCAGAGAAATCATTATTTACTTCCAACAATATCATTCAGCAAATATGCCTTTATCCTTTGAAAAGAAGTTTCTCTGCTAGAGAATATCACACAAATGTTAAAACAAGGACTGAGTTCGTGAACAAATAGAGTGTGTAATTTTTAACTTCACCTACCCGCTCCACACACACAAACTTAACTGAGCCATTGAGGAACAGTTCTGCTATAGTGTTGAACCAAAGAATAAAAAAGTCTTTACAAAGTCAGGCAGTGAAGGGCCATGCATTCTCTTATGAGGTTTCAGCCTCAGGCATTTTATTTTCACGCTCATTAATTCTGATATGTCACAAACAGAAGAGATATTTTTGAAAGGTTATGATATTCAAGACTTGCTACTATGATTCATATCTACTTACAGTTTATTCCATTGAGTGTTTTAAAGTGAGGATAGGGCAGGAAGGGAAACATTCATCCCAGTGTATGAATGATGGGACATATTTTGTGGGCATTCACCCAGAGACTTGACTTTATTTTTAAAAATATAGGCGTTCCCAGGATAGTTATAAGGATCAATTGTGATAAATTATGCAGAAATGCCTTATAAAGTAATGCAAAATAGTTATGAAATTGTTAAATATTTTAAATCCTATTAGACAGACACTGATACAGAATGCAGACAGCAACGCTTTGATATATTTGTCAAAAGATGAGGAACGTTGTCATCCTCACATGCATCACTAATTTCCCCTCCTAGCTGCTTCATTTTCTTTCACCAGCTGCTAGTTACCTCATCACAGTCTTTCTTGGGTTTGTGCAAAAAATCATTCACATCACTCATAAACTAATCTCCTCCAGTCAGTGAAGAAAAATTTTTCACTGTGTCTGGAGATAGATGCTTTTCAGAAACACATATATTACGAAAATGTCTTCAGTATTCATATTCTTACAACCCATGGTGAGGATAGTCCAATGTTCTTACTTGTGCAAAAAGGATTGCGTAGTTTATACAGAGTGGCATTTCCTCCCACGTTCCTATGTCAGTAGCTTTTCCAAATATGCCATTAATCAGAACAGGGAACAGTTAGAAGCAGGACAGAAGCAGAATGCATCTCTATATCACATTAGATAATAGCACCACAGAAACAAGAGATGGTAGGAAAGTATGATTTGCCATGACTCACTTCCTAAAAATCATCTTAGCATCTACTGTAGCATTTGCAGGAGCATCCATTGGTATTCCAAAACCCAGTTGATGCCAGACTTATTGTACTATATTTGTGCGATTTTTGTGCAAGCCCTGGGTTGTAAATTATGTACTTATAGATGCTTTAAAAAAAATTTAAACTCCACAAGGTAAGGTTTACTGCATGGAGTCATGAACAAAAAATAAAATAATGACTTTTCTCTTCCCAAGCAACATGAAAATACATAATGCTTAAAAAATTTCATATCCATTATAAAAATATTTATTACAATAGACTGGAAAGATCAATTGAAAAAACAGAAATAATGGAAAATATGGAGAACGATAGTGCACTACTTTTGTGTAAGTCTTCTTATGTATTGTTTAACTTCATTCAATTGTCATTTTAGAGAAGAGTGTATATGTGTGTGTGTGTGTGTGTGTGTGTGTTTATATATTTTTTTCCCTCTTGGGTATTTTAATTGCCATTATTTTCTTAAAAAGTCACAGGTGATATAAAAATATGAATGGGATATTATTATTTAACTAAAATGTTTGAATGCCTAAACGTTCTTGAGAGTGGTCTCTGTTTTGCTTAAGCCTTCAAGAACTAACTAGGAATTCCCAGCAGATCATTTCCTTTCTTTCTTTTTTCTTTTTTTGTTTTTCTTTTTGAGACAGAGTATACCACTTTTGCCCAGGCTGGAGTGCAATGGCGCAATCTCAGCTACCTGAAACCTCCGCCTCCGAGGTTCAAGCAATTCTCCTGCCCCTGCCTCCCAAGTAGCTGGGATAACAGGCACACAGCACCATGCCCAGCTACTTTTTTGTGTTTTTAGTAGAGAAGAGGTTTCGCCATGTTGGCCAGGCTGGTCTTGAACTCCTGACCTCAGGTGATCCACCTGTCTTGGCCTCCCAAAGCGCTGGGATTACAGGCATGAGCCACTGTGCCCAGCCAGAAAGCAGATTATTTTCTAATAGAAGTAACCATTGTTTCTTGCAATGCTCTTTTGATTCAACATATCCATAAAATGCCTTCTAAAAACCTACATAATTAGTCATAACTCATGTCATAACTGCATCCTCGTTGTTTCCTGTAATCATATTAAGCTCAAGAACAGGCAAATATATGTGTAATTAGGGATTATAAAGCAGTATATTCTCTTAATATTAATAGAAATTATGTGCATGAGTAATGAAGGCAAAGGGTCTAATATAAGTTTCACTTCTCCTTACAATTAAATGACTTTGTGAAGCATAATATTTCATGTCCTAGATTTCTAATCTATAAAATGGAGATTATCATACTCATCTCAAATGTTTTAGATATAATAAGTAAGAAAGCACTGCACTCCAGCCTGGGTGACAGAGTGAGACCCTGATTCAAAATAATAATAATAATAATAATAATGTAATCAATATCTTATTGTATTCATTGGCTCCATTCTGAAAGTAAGATAATATGAGGAACAAGAGATTAAAGAGAGAATTTTGTGTGCCAATAGAAGGGACCTATTTTGGTGATCAAATAATACATTCTGTGAAATCTAAAAACTGATTATAATAAAATCTGCCTAATGTGCTTATATTGTAGAAAAACATCATAAGATAATATGATTGTCTTACTGTAGAACCTATAAATTTTCTTCTCCTCCTCCTTATTGTTACTATTATTACTTTTAAATATATTTATTACTTTTAATTATATTTAAGTAGTAAATTATATATATATATACACACACATATATATATATATATATACACACACACACACATATACACACATACACACACAGGCATGGGAGTATAGGGAAAATCCTGACCCATTGAAGAACAGTTTTGCTACAGTCTTGAACCAAAGAATTAAAAAAAGCCTTTACAAAGTTAGGCAGTGAAGGTCCATGTATCCCCTTACGAGGTTTCAGCCTCATGCGTCCTGTTTGACTCAGTTTTAAAGTCCTGGCAAGAAGGCTGTTCAATTTTCCTTCTTGAGCAGAAGATTAAGTCCACTTTCCCTATCTCCTCCCTTATTGGGCTCTTCCACCCAAACAGCCCTGTAATTTCTCCAAGGCCAGGTACCAGACAATGTGGGGCAGCCACTATGCCTCAAAGCCCATTGAAGTTATGCTAACTAGCCAGTCATAAACATGTTCACCTCCCTGACCCATTGCTTCCCTAGGAAACTACAGTAAAGGCACTTGCCTGGAGTTCCACTCTTTCCCTCTGCCTTGTGACTGACCCCAGTGCCTTGTGACTGACTTCAGTGGCCCTAGGTAAAGTGTTGTGTTGTCCCAAGGAAATCCTGAGTAACAAAATTGTATAACTTCAGGTTCTCCCTCTTGATCTGCATCTGAACTCCCTGTATCTTACCCAAGGTAATATCCTTAAAACAGGAGATTAGGGAGGCAGGTAGGAGATCATCTGTGGTACAATGTTGGAGTGACTTTACAATTACTGTTGCCATTTTAAAATCTCATTCCATCATTTTTTTCTCCTAGAGCCTACCCACTGCATTTTCTGGCAACAATGTTGCCCAGTTGTTGACAATGATCAACTTAGATTTTGAAGCTCGCTGTCTACTAAAACTGTCTATACTAACAATGATTACTCAAGGACTATCCTTTGGTACAAAATACTGAATATTTTCTCAATACAAAATAATTTCTCAATACCATGAAGAATGCAAAATGTGACTTATTAGTCACAAAAATAGATTAATAAAAATGAACCCAAGTTTGAAGCTGATAACAGTGGTCACCTTTCTATTGTGAGTTCGTTGGCCATCCATTTAGATGCATATTTAGGCTAGTGTCACCTCACCTGATCCATTGGCAATCATTTTGCATCCTGATCTGCAACCCTGAAGGTTGATCTGTAGGAACTCTGATATATCAATGGGCTTTCTTGTCTTCTAGCTTCTGATTAGTTACAATAAATAAATCAGGAGATCTACGCAAGTGGGAAGAATAAGGTCAGGGTTGTTATTCCCTTGACAATCTCATTGTGGGGTTGTCTAAAGTGGTGGTTTCCCTTGGCTGAGGTGACAAGCTTTTTCAAAGCAACCCTTTTCATATTTCCTCAGTCTGAGTTCTCATACCTGCCTATCTTTGCCCCCTCAGAATTGGGGTTGGTAAAAACCCTACACTTTCTAGCCCCCAGAATATTGAATTATTCCTGCGGTTTCCCTCTACTCCCATGACTTTATAAAATGGTTCTTTATTAAACTTTCAAAAATTTCCCAAAGTGAGTCTGCAGTTGGTCTTCTGCTGGGACCCTGAATCTTATATTTAGGGTTTCTTACATGTATAAGAAGGTATTATCTTACTGTAGTTTGTTAATAACCAATTCAAGGGGTCCCTGCAAGCACAAAATACTTCTTTTATCAGAACACACAACTTGCATTTTTTAGCTCTACAATAAAAAACCCAGTTAAAATAAATAAAATAGCGCATGAATTTAATGAACCTGGATATGATGCTTCTATTTATACCTCAAACAGTTTAAACCTGAAGCTATAGACTAAACCAGATCATCAGAGAACAAAATACTGAAACCAGGACATTTTAATTCCTTTATCAGGTTTATTTATTGTAACAGACCCCAGAGTTACACCTTAATTCAGCCTTAAGGGCTATTGTGAGAAAACCAAAACAATTTAGAGTTTTTAAATTATGTTTATTACTTTGATGGCATTGAGTCTGCATTAGTCTGTACCTTGCAGAATACTCTTATTAGGTCCTTTGAATTTATTGGTTTGCTCTTTTGGAAAAAAACGACAAACCTGTAAATCTTGAATATTGGATTTGTCTCTACCTTTAGAAATTTAAGAATTTTTCAAATAGTCATATTTGTTTTGGTAGCTAAGATGCTTTGAACACTCTTTCATTTTGACATATTTATAAAAACTTTAGTCTATGACTTGCATTCTTGAAAATTATTCTTTTTTCTGATCGACTGCTTTTCTAATTTTATATTAGACCATTTTCTAGCAAAAACTTATTGTGTTCATTTTGCATTATGGGTATTCTTATAAAGCATCTCTAGTTGTTTGTCAATAGGTCCAGGATAAAATGATATATACTCACCCACACACACATATATATACACACAAATATACACACACACATATATAAAGAAGTAATATATATATAAAGAAGTATATGTATTATAAAAATAGAAGTAATTTTATCTTATAGTTGGAGTATCAAAGGTGAAATCAATAGGGGCAAAGTAATCCCATATGCTGATCTAAAACAAGGTACAGACTGATTTGTGGAGGTCTTACAAGGAGCGTGGTCAACCAATATTTTTTTTAAAAAATTACTAAAATATAATGTACCAACCACAAAGTTCCTCCTCAGAGTATATGTTAAAATGGTCTTACTATGTTTACAATGTTGTCCAAATAGCACAAGAACCTAATTTTAGAAAATTTGCATCACCCAAAAAGACACACCAATCCCATTTGCAGTGAGTCCCTATCAACTGCCTTCCAGGTTAAACAAATAGTAATCTCTTTCTGTGTCTATAAATTTACCCATTTTTGACATTTCATATAAATTCATGAATCACCCAATATATATAGAATTCTGAATCTGGCATTTTCAATTAGCTTGATGTTTTCAAGGTTATCCATGTTGTAGCATGTATCAGCAATTCTTTCCTTCCTTTTTATTGCTGAATAATTTCCCATTTATGGACATATCACAATTTGTTTATCTGTTCATCACTGATGGAAATTTGGGTTGTTTCCACCTTTTGGCTATGATCAAGTATGCTTCTGTGAACATCCATGTACATAGGTTTTACGGATAGACATGTTTTCAGACCTATTGGGTATATCAATAGGAATTGCATTTCTAATCTATCAGACAACTTTATGTTTAATATTTTGAAGAACTGCCAAACTGCCAAAAACTAATTTTTAAAACCATTTCTTATTATTGAATTTGAACATATACGAGAGTGTGTAAATAAAATTCATTATGACAGAAAAGTCAATAGTGAGAATTTCTTTGGTGCATTTTTTACTCCTGTTGCAAACAAGAAAGTTTTCATTCTCCAAGTGAGAATGTCTTCTGGAAAAACTAATGGAAATCTTGGTTAATATCTTTTAATGTGGTATGCTCAGGCTTAGGTACCTCTCTCTCATAAAATAGGTGAAGACTTGCAAATCAAGGAGACGGAACCTAGCAGAAGTCAAGTTTTGAGAGATAAGTGTGAGCAGCCAACTAGGAACATTCATCTATTCCGGAGGTCTGAATGTTAAAGTCTTTGGAAGAACAATCCCCACCCCGCCCCTCACAACTTGCACACACATGAGAATCAGAGTATGTGGGCATCTGCCATTCAGAGGCTGCTGATAAGTTTGTTATATCAATCAGGTGACACATTTTCTGCTAGTTTTCTTGCCTCTTATCCCCACTGCTCTCTTCACATTCCATCCAAACCTTGAGTTTACAAAGGCTGTCTTAAAAAAAAATGTGGAAAGAAGAGTTATCAAACAGAATTCCTTTCAATTCCTTAAACTTTGTGTCATCTCTCTTACCTCCAGGATGTTCCACAAGTGAAAACCATATGTTCTCTTTGCTTTGCCTGGCTAACTCCAAACCTGGAGGTTCCACTTTATTTCATCTTGTCCAATCAGTCTTCCCTAACACACTCCACATTCCTACCTTTGAGACCAGAACAGATGTCACTCTTAGTTAAATTGAAAACATGTTGTTTTTTTATTTCCAATTAATTCTGTAATTTACTGTAGAGTATCCTGAGATCATGCTTACTTCTATTATAAGGTAAATTCAATAAAACACTGTGAAAAGCCATCAGCTTCACAGCTATTTCTCAAAAATTACCATAGTGTCCAATGTTTAATCAATGATTAATAAACATTCTAACAATTTATACAGTACATTGACCTTGGAATCAGAAGACATAGGGTTAAATTTAAATTTTCTATTTTAAATTGTTTGTTTGGCAATCTTTTTTTTCTTTTTCTTTTCCTTTTTTTTGAAAGGTACTCTACTGCGATTGTCTTAGACTAATCATCTGCAAAATGACTATGTTGGGCAAGATGAACATTAATTCTTTTTATTTCAACTCTGATTAAAAGACTTAATTGTAAATATGACTTTTTTTAAGGAAGCATTTGTTTACATTTGATTGATTTGGAGTCACCACAGAATCAATGACTAAACTCTTGATCGGCTATCAGTGGTGTACAACTTTTTAACTTGTTTATTCTACCTTGCATAACAAAGGAATAAAGGGTATCTCCTCCTCCTACTTACAGAGTAATTTAATACACCCAAGTATTCAAGTGCTTCTGTACAATTGCTTAATATTTATATAGTTAACACCTTTTCTGAGCATGTTCAATATATTTTCCTTGATTTTATTACGTGAAGTAGATATATCAATTTTAAAAATTTCTACTACATTTCATTCTACATTTGTCCTGATTGTCATCCTGTCTCAAAGCTTTCTGGCTGTTTTTAATTTATTTTGACACTATCGAATGTATCTTAATAAATGAGAATTTAAGAAGTGTTCACTTGGCATATGTATTGTCCTATTTATTGTTTTATAGTAGATAACATTGGTTTATGAGCTAATACGTTTTTTATTTGGACATTAGTATCTTTTTTGCTGTGCTGGGTAGTAGAATATGATAAATGCTAATTACATTATTACATAACACACAAATATATATAATTTATTATCATTAATTCATAAAAGAAAACTTTGATATTTGTACAGTGTGGCTTAATATAATTTTTAGACATATAATATCTTTAAGAATATATACAGTGCATTAAAAATTCTACCTGAATATCAAAAAAAATTTGACTTCAAACATATACTTTAAAATGTCATATGAGAGCTATTGATGATAAAACTGAATATTATTTATTTGACTTCTTGAAGAATAAAATAACTATGCAAGAATTCATATCATAAACATTATATATAGAAAAAAAGAGATTCCAAAAGTGAGGATTAATTATTAATTATTATGATTAATTTATTATTTCCAAATATTTTTGACCAGAAATTTTATATATATATATATATATATATATATAGAGAGAGAGAGAGAGAGAGAGAGAGAGAGAGAGAGAGAGAGATTGTGTGAGAGGAATTCAAAATCAACAACAACACACAGAAGCGTGTTCCTACAGAAGAGAAGAAAGAATTGCCACCGAAAGCTACACAAGTATTGCCACTGAAAGCTACAGATGCAAGAAAATAAACATTTTTTTAGGCATATCTTTGTATTTGAGCCAGAAACTGTGAACTACAGTGCTTGTGTCACACAGCTATAAAAATATGCATGTCTATTTCCCTTTTTGTTTATATGTACACAAACACACAGACTCAACACTTTTTTTTCTCCTCCAAATAGGACTGAATGTATACCAAGTTGCCTCTACCATGCAAACCCGACTTATTTAAATATTACTACAATACTATCTCTTCAGAATTTTTTAATATTCTACTTTTCAGTAGATGATATTATAGATATATTTTATGCTATCACATCTGGGTAATTAGATGATATTACACCCAACTTTCCAGAGCCCCTTTTTCTTCTTTTAGATTAAATTGAAGTCAAGTTATGGAGAGAAACTTCAGCTCTCTTCTAGTTCAAAATATATAAAATGCTATGAGTTATACATCATGTATTATCTGAACCAAACGTTGTATGTATTCCTTTAGAGATCTACAGTGCAATATTGAAGGAGTAACATCAAACATTGATTAAAAAAAAGTAACACTCCTTTAACTCTGCTGGTATTAATTCCTTCTAATATAATATTTTGAAATATTTTGCAGTTAAACAAGCTGGGTGCTATCTGAAGCAGAACAATGGGTAGACAACTTTATCTCTGATACTCAGATGTTTTTAGGCTGACATTGAACATTGTCATCAACCTTATTATGACAGATATGTGTAGCACTTGGAAAATTAATAATGTGATTTACCCTACATTGATAGGTGCTAACACATTTGTGTTGAGTCAGTGTCACAGTCTTTTCCCAGAATATTAGTTGCTAGGGCTGTTGTGACACACTGTGCTTTGGCTCTAAAATCAGTTCTGTAATCCAATTTCCAAGAAGATGAATACAGGCCAATGTCCCTTGTCATTTTTGATTCATCAATAGACAGATTGATTTAATATTTATTGGGTACTGTTTTTCACAGTGCATAGCTTCAGTCATGTCCCCAGTAACAAGTAGCCAAGCAAAGGGGGGAAAATTAATTCTTTCTGGTATTCCATTTTCTAGCAAATTTGCATTCTCTTTAAAAAGTAGATGCACCTGTGAAGCAATTGTAATTAATTATAGCCTGAATTATATTGTTAGGATGAAATTTTGCAAAATTCAAAGTGATTAACATGATATTTTGATTACTAAGAGGAATAGTAGCAGGGTTTAGAGAGTATATATTCTACAAATTACATCATCTATAAAGTTACAATATATCAATAACAAAAAAAGCAATATTCAAGTGAATACTCTTAGTATTCACCCATATTTAAACAAGAAATTAACCAAATTAACACAATTATTTAGAATATCTTTTGCTGAATTAGAGCTTGAAATATTTCAAAATAGCTAGAACGCAGTAAGTGCTATGTGTCGAGCAAAATTTAAAGCATTGAAGTACATTATTTAATTTGTAGTTGGCATAAATCGTTAGCTATCAATAACAATACAATACAATACAATACAATACAGCTCTGTGTCACATAATGATGTTTTGGTTAATAGACTGCATATATGTCAGTGGTCACATAGATTTTAATACTGTATTTTTACTGTATCTTTTCTATGTTTAGATATACAAATATCATTATGTTAAGATAGTCTACAGTGTTCAGTACAGTAACACGCTTTACAGGTTTATAGCTTAGGAGTAACATGCTATGCCATATAGTCTAGGGGTGTAGTAGGCTATAGATACAGTTTTGTGTATGTATGCTTAATGATGTTCACATGACAGAATTGCCTAATGATGCATTTTTTAGAACATATCCTCATCTTTAAGTGATGTATGACTGCAGTTTGTTTTCCTTTTGTATATAATGATGACAATGAACTTATAACTGGAACTTTATGGGGTTCTGTAAATGAATAGAATGCCAGAGCATAAGTAATTTGACCATTCACAACGACTTGCCTATTACTTTGAAGAAAAATGCAGAAGTGTAAAGATGAACAAGTATTTCCTTTGTTACATGTATAAATTTTTAAAATCAGATCGGGACACTATTTAAAGGTTTATTGAAGAAATATATAGTTGCTTCTGTCTTAAGAGCCTTGAGAGAATAGTAACTGATTCGTACCAGTTTCTGATTCATTTTAATTATACCTATTAAGTGACCAAATAAAAATGGGAGAAGGGGCTCTAGTTGCTTTTTTTACAGAACAAATTACATATATGGGATTTTTACTAATTTGCTTAATAAGTTAATCACATGCTTGCCATTCATTTGTACTGAAACTTAGATTATGACTTCAATGAAGTCTCTGTGTATAATATACTATTCTCAGGCTGCATGAATTAACCTTATTACAAATATCCTTGGATTTAGTCCAAAGCAGCAAAGTCTTCTAAAGAATGTATTTCTATAAAGAATAACTATGTATATCATCTTTTGAATTATTCAAATGTGAATGAAATAGATGATTTATTTCTACAGGTGATTTAGGGTAGTTATTGAAACTTACAGCAATAACAAGATTCACTTTTTACTTATATTTATGTATAAGAAAATTATGTTATTCATCTTTTATTATACTGTACTGGAATACTAGGTGGCCTTTTTGGTAACAGTATACATTTTTAAATAGACTTGCCTAGAAAGAAAAGGAAAAAAAATGTATCATGTTCTTTTTATATTAGGTAAATATTAGACAAAACAGGAAGTGTTGTTATGGCTATGACTTAAAAAGAAAATTGGCTATATGATGTTTTTATGTGATTTTATTTATTATTAAACTAATAAGGCACTTTTCATAGGAAGAACATTGCACATACAGACAGGTCTTAAAAAACTGCATTATAATAAAGTAGGTTCAAATCATCATGAGATTAGTCCTTTTATTTTTATTTTTGTTTCATTTTTTCTTACAATCTATTTTGAGGGTCAACCATTTGAAAAAATTGAAATTTACATCACCTTCCAGAAATCATGACAAAATGTTTTAAATTTCATGTAATAATACCTCTCAGAGAAGAAGACCACTCCTTCAAATAAAATTACTACGTACCTTCCAAGTACTCATTGTACACCACACATTATGCAAAGAGGAAGAGTAACACTTCAACCTTGAGATCACTGGGGGTAAAGCAGGGAAACTACATGTTTTCCTTTTCTTGTCTTACTGTTCCCTTACATCATTCTGTAGCCCAGGCTGGAGCGCAGCGGTGTGATCACAGCTCACTGCAGCGTCTGCTAAAACTAAAGTGATAAAACCAAAACTAAAGCCTTTATAGAAGTAAAAGGATACTCCAGCCTCAGCCTCTTGAGTAGCTAGGATTGCAGGTGTATGCCACCACACCATCTATTTTTTTTATTATTTTTTGTAGAGATGGGGTCTTGCTATTACAGACTGATCTTGAACTCCTAGTCTCAAGTGATTTGCCTGCTTTGGCTTCCCTAAAAGTGCTGAGATTGCAGGAGTGAGCCACCATGCCCAGCCCTTTTTGTCTTATTGACCCGTATTGTCTTGTGAGCTTATTTTCTTGTCTTACTAAGCAATAATTTGTCTACAATATGATTAGGTAAACAGTTCAATAAGTAACTACCAATCTGATCATGTTATAGAACATTCTGGCAATCGGACAATTACCTTTTATATCTTTCCAGCCCATGCTCTTTCTGGAATATCTTATGAAACCACTGTTCTGATGTCTACTGCCATATCTTATTTTTGCCTGTTCTAGAATGTCACATTAATGGAATGTGGAAATTTGTGCTCTTTTTTATATATTGCAAAATAGCATTTCACTCTGGATATAACACAATCTGTTTATCTAAGACTGCTCATTTCAAATCACAATGGTGAGTGAATGTTGATAGCAGGGGCAAATTACAGCATTTGAAAAACCAGAAGAAACTTTGCTGACAGTAAAAGTTGTATGTGCAAGTCGCTGAAATTACCAAATTGTTTCTCAGAAAGTAAGGGACATAAATACTTTTAGTGGTTTAAACAGAGGAATAAAATGGGTATATCTGGAGGGAGGTTTGACTGCCTGAGCAAAATTTAGCCTCACATGTAATACTTTACTCTTACAATTAAAGAATTACTAATACTTTTAGGTAATACATTCATATAATTTATTAATTATATTAATACTATTTTTCTGATTACTGATTTTAAAGAAAAAGCATTTTGGCAGTTCCACTCTAGTAACAAAATACGCCTACAATAACTTCGTACTCATGTCTCTTTTGTTTACAATAATCTATAGATTAAAAATATCCCCAAACATACATTTGTGACCAGTATACTAACTTAGCGTATACATATTAGGAAGCAAAGGCAGAACAGTATTTCTGACTAAGAGAGCAGACAAAACACTACGGAGTTCCTCCAGAAGATTGCTTAATTTTTTGTGTCATAACATGTATTAAAGACACACTATTGTCTTTTAAATTGCATAGGCTTTTCAAAATACCATAATGCAAATGCGGACTGCTCACATGTACATTTATCAAAATGATGATGGGGTATATTATAATCTTAATAAATGCTTACATGTCATAGAATATCTATCAACTATATTAGTATAAATTGAACAAATATTTAAGTAAAAATGGTGATACAAAATTTAAGAAAACCTAGAATTATAATGGAGTCTGATACATTTGTAATCATTGCTTCTTTTTTCTTTTTTTTTTTTTTTTTTTTTTGAGAAAGAGTCTCACTCTGTCACCCAGGCTGGAGTGCAGTGGTGCGATCTCAGCTCACTGCAACCTCTGCCTTCCGGGTTCAAGCGATTCTCCTGCCTCAGCCACGTGAGTAGCAGGGACTACAGGCGCATGCCACCACGCCTGGCTAATTTTTTTTTTTTTCGTATTTTTAGTAGAGGCTGGTTTTTACCATGCTAGCCAAGATAGTCTCGCTCTCCTGACCTCGTGATCCACCCGCCTTGGCCTCCCAAAGTGCTGGGATTACAGGCATGAGCCACCGCGCCTGGACCATTGCTTCTTTTTAAGTCATCATTTAGTGATTCATATCGAATCCAGTTTCCTAGTCTCTGATAACAAAGCTTGTTTCCATTCAGTTATATAATAAGACATGGTGGACTTAATGTGGAGAAGAAATCACTTCTAATTCAGGTAAAATATAAAGTTACTAGAACACCCAGTTGCTTCTATTTGTAAGAGAGATATATTCCTCAATATCACAATTCTAGAATATATCTGAAGAATGTTAATAATGTAGCATTTTACACTGCAGCCACTATGTCTTGGGATATTATTAAAAAGAGAATATTAATATCCCTTCAGACTTGTTTATGTTTATATATGGAGTGCATACATATGTATATACACACATATATGTGACTATATTGTGTTATTCATTGCTTATTAATTCTTTAAGCAAATATTTATTGAGCGCATATTGTATTCCAGACACTATTCTATACACTGGGAATATAGTAATAAAGTAAGAAACAAAACAAACGTGTGGTATGATTAGTGATTAAAGTTATAGGAAAAATTGAGCAAAGTCAGAGATGTTCACAGATGTAGGGAAGGCCTGTGGTGGAGAAGGCTTTTACTTTATAAAGGGTAGTGAAAGCAGGCCTCCTTGAATGAGTGGTATTTAAGAAAATAATTTGAAGAGAGAGTGTGAGACAGCACATATCTAGAAAATAGTTATCCAGGTTGATGATCCAACAAGTTCCAAGTCCTTGTAGTACAAACATGCTTTTCATATTTAAGGACTTCAAGAAGTGGGATGAACATAAGGAATATTGAGACTGAAAGTAATGAATAAGGGGTAGTGGGAGGAAATAAGAGAAGAAAGGGTCAAGTTGGCCTCAGAAACTAGAAGCATGAAGCTGCCATTATCTGATATGAGAAAGGCTAAAGATGAAGCAGGCCCGGCGCGGTGCCTCAGGCCTGTAATCCTAGCACTTTGGGAGGCCGAGGTGGGCGGATTGCCTGAGCTCCGGAGTTTGAAACCGGCCTGGGCAACAGGGTGAAACTCCATCTCTACTAAAAATACAAAAAAATTAGCTGGGCGTCGTGGCGGGCGCCTGTAGTCCCAGCTACTTGGGAGGCTAAGGCGGGAGAATTGCTTGAACCCGGGAGGCAGATGTTGCAGTGAGCAGAGATCACGCCACTGCACTCCAGCCTGGGCGACAGAGCGAGACTCTTGTCTCATAAGATAAGATAAGATAAAATAAAATAAGCAGGTTTGAGATGTCCAAATAAGTTCCAAATTAGACTTACTAAGTTTGAGATGCCATCAGTCATCCCAGCGGAGGTGGTGGTGTGATTTTATAGTCTGCAGCACAAGGGAGAGGTCTGCACCGGAGATAAAAGTCAGTACCAATTATCATGGAGTTGGAATTTCAAGTGTTGAAAATAGACGGGCTCACTAAAGAGGGTAGGATAGAAGGAGTAGAGAAGACATCTAAGGACTGAATCATAGTTCAGAGACCATTGTTTAGAGATTGAGGGGAATAGAAGAATTAAGAACATATAGAGGACTAAAGCTGAAAAGCATCAGAAGGACACCCCATAGCTGCTGGAGCTTAGCTAAAGAATTGGTAGCCCCTTCACACCCATGGCCTGATGGGGAGTAAGTCGAAAGAATAAGCACCTTGAAACACTTCTGCCCCACCCTCCAATCCCCTCCTGGTTTATTACATGTGTTGATTCCAATAGAAATCTACTAAGGGAGGAAATTTACTTGAAGCAGCCCATATAAGTTAATCTTCTGAGACATATCAGGAGGAAATTATTAATGTGTAGGCGAAGCAGTAATTTGATTTAACGAGGGTTAGTGATGATTCTAGCAAACATGGTGGAGAAAGAGAGGACAAGGAAGTTGAGGATATACATAGGAAGATGTAATAGTAGAATATGAAATTCGTTAAGGAAGAAAGTGCAGGAAAAGGGAGGGTAAGGTAGTTAAAAGCAGTAGAATCCATGGATTATAGGTCTTGAGATAACTGAAGAATCGCTGGAGTCAGGTTGCTATAGATGATGATTAGGAACGAAAGGAAGTGATGACAAGAACGGACAATGCCAAAAATGCTTGAAAGTTACACCCTGGATGCCAGTACTTTTGAAGTCCATAGAATGATGAGAGAAGTGTGTGGGTGAAGAAGATTGAAGGACAGCATCATTAGAGAAAGGAAATTAGAAGAGAAGAGAAGTTAAGATACTGAAAAGATCAGCCACGTGAACATCAGAACTACCATAAATTAAGGCAGTCGTATTAGAATGAGTCCCTTTTCAGTATCATTGTAGAATAAGGGGAAATGATACAGAAGGTCTGTTGATGGCCAAACAAGAACCAAGATGTGTAGAGAATGTCATAGGCTGACACAGTAACATCAAATCTGGGTAATTTCAGGCAGGAGGGAATTAAAATGATCTACAAAGTGCAACAAAGAGGAAAAAGACTGTATCCTGTCCTGTATATCACTGACCAGGAGCAACGTTGTGAGAAATACAGGATAACACACAACCACCACTTGAGAAGCTGCAGGAAAAGTTTCCAATGATGGTGGGATATATTGGTTACAACAACAAGGTTATATAAACATAATAGAAGAAACAAAGCTCATAGATTTCGCTGCTCATGGATTGTGAATTCCAGAAACCAAAGTTGAAGGGTTATGTATAGTTGATGTAGATTCAATTATGAGGTGAAACGTGAAAGGCACAGAGTAAAATTGGATTACTAATCAGGACAAGCATAGTGCAAATGTTTCAGCCATTTTGTTGAGGTGAGGCTATGAGTCTGAAAATGGGGAGAAAATAAAAATACCTTGTTAAGCATCTCAAATGATCTTGACTCTTCTTCATGTCAGTGTGGAGGCCAGGAGTGATGCTGTCTGATCACGAAGTAGTTAATTATGGAGACCTCTTAATTTATAAGTATTTGTGTGGGTATATAAACATGTATGCCTGTGTGCGTGTTTCTATAATTATTTTTATAATTATCTCATATTAGCAATATCAAGGGAACCATTAGTGTCAGATTGTTTAGGGGCATTTTCAGACTATTTAGGGGTATTATTTGGGGTTACATTGTGAATATTTTATTTAGGAATATTAGCTAAATTAGAAATATTTAATCATTTAGTGACTATTGAATATACGATATTTTTGAATAATAATTACACATCACAAATCATTCTCTGTTCATTTTGAGGAAATAATTTAGCACCTACTTCTGATGTAATTGTCTCTGAAAAAAATGGGAGTGGGAGCATCAGGAATAGACAGATTCCTCATGGTTAGAAATCAATAGAAAGGAATTACTGTAACAGTGGGACCCTGGGAAGGCAGGGCAAGTTATCTGTCTCACTGATGTTCTGAGTCCTGAACAGACACTTTTAATTTTCTAAGAATAAGCCTAGGGAAAAACTAAGGGCAGTAAAGTCATGTCATGGGCCAGGATGGCTCACCAAGATCCTATCTGTCATCAGCCTTATCTATCCACTGGAAATGGATGCCCAGATGTTGAAAATATATATATTGGGATAGGGATAGAAATATGTGAATATAGACCATGTAAACTATGGAAAAAGGGAAGGTAGGATTATGATTGGATGGATAGAAAAGATTTGGATTTGTGTATTTTTTTATTTATATATTTATATATCATAGTGATATATATATTTTATTTGTATATAGATTTTTAAAATTTTCTCCCGTGGACTTGATATTTTAGATCATCCTTATTTAGCTCTTAATCTTTTGAATCAGATACATTTCACACAAGACACAATGTAAAACAACCAACATTTTTTCCAGATGGAAAAGAAAAAATTATAATACTAGCTTTTAAATAATACATCCATCCTGCAGTAATCTCTATCCTGAAGCCATCTCTATAATAAAGTCAGCCTCCAGGTATGAATAAGATTTCTGTTGTGCTTTATTGATATGTTTTCCTTCTGCACACCCATTTTGTACCGTGTATATAACTGCTATTTTGAATTATATCCTTATATCTACATGAAGTGTCTTCCCTGTGTGTTCTTCTCTTTTGAAATTGTCTTGGCTCTCCCTGCATTTTTATTGTTCCTTACTTTCAGAATCAGCTTCCAACATAAACTTTTGCCATTTTGATGAGCTTTGTATTTATTAACATGGGAACTGACATACATTAATTCACATATCTCCCTATGAAGATCTAGGGACATATGTAAATTCAAAATTTATCTTCTTCTAGGGAAGATCTAGGGATACGTTAATTCAAAACTCTCCTTATGAATATTTTTGTTGCTAGTGTAAAGGCAAATTATTTTATATTGTATTTTCTAGTTGGTAATTCCTGGTATATAGAAAAGCTGTTGAATTTTCCATGCTGACCACGCAAAATTGCTGAAAGCACCTCACATTTCCTTGAAATGTATGTATAAATTATTTTTGATTTATCATATTGGTAATCATGATGTGTCAATCAGGCTTCTCCAGAGAAACAGAGGCAATAGGAGAGAGAGATACCATAAATAGATAAATGGCTATATATAAATATGTATTTTATAGGAACATATAATTTGATAGACTATATTATATAGATGATTAATATATAGTGTTATAAATATCTTCATATTTAATATATGTATGTGTATGCATATATGTGAATATTTGTGTGTGTGTATATATATATGTATACATGTATGTGTGTGTCTGTGTGTATGTATTATATATAGGAATTGGTTCAGATAATTGGATCCTGGAAAGTCTGAAATCCACAGGGCAGGCTGGAACCTCAGGCAGGAATTTTATGCTAAAGTCTTGAGACAGAATTTATTCTTTCCTGGGAAATTTGTATTTTCTGTTAAGGCCTTCAACTGATTGAATGAGGCCTACCCTCATCATCCACGATAATGTGCTTTACTTAAAGTGAACTGATTTTAGATGTTAATCACTTATACAAAATACCTTTATAGCAATATCTAGACTAGTGTTTGGCCTAACAACCGAACGCCATAGCCTGCCAAATTGGCACACAAAATTAGCCATTACACATGCAAACTACAAATTACTGTAAAAAAATTTTCCCTCACAATCTTTAGGCTTCCCATTTAGTTTACATACTGAACTTTTGAATTACTTAAAAATAATTTTAAACATTAGTGGTAAAAGCAGGCATTCTTGTCCTTTTAATCTTTAATAAGAAGATGTTTTTAAGTTTTTTCATTGACTTTGATGTCTGCCTTCTTCTGCCTTATTCCTTCTCAGGGTGTGGTTATATTCTATGTCAAAATAAGAATCTTTTACCTGTTTCTTATTTCCTAAGAGTCTATTTACATTTTTAATGTTTGAACTTTGAAAAATTATCTTTTTCAACCTATTTACATTTTATTTATAATATTTATCAAGATTTTCTATGACAATCATTTTCTCCATTGATCATTTACAGAAATATTCAATGCCATTAGCTCACATGCAAGGGATAAAACCTACTAAAGTAAAATGAGTAATGTTTAATACACTATATAACAAACTGACTAATTATACCAAGATTATCAAACTCTTTTCATAAGAGTATTTTGCTCATAATTTTTCTCCTATAATGCTTTGAAGTATTTTATCATAAAAGTACGTTGAATTTATAAATTGCGTTGGACAAAACTTTTCACATTTTCTACTTCCTAGATATATTTGTGAGAGGAAGAAATTATCTACTTCTAAATAATTTGGTGGAATTTGCCTATAAATTGCTTGGTTCTGAGGCTTTTGTCAGGGTGTACAGGGTGGGAGAAGAGTGATTGGTTTCCATTGCATGCTATCAGATGTTTATTGTAGCATTCAAAGTAGTTTTTATAACCAAGTTTGCTTATTATAAGTTCTAGAAAATGTGGCCATTTCAGTTAGAATTTTTATATTTTGCCATTTAAAGTTTGTAGAATCTATTATGGTCTTTAAAAGCTCTGCAACAGATTTTATTATTTTATACATTTATTTTACTTTCTCTTTGCCACCCTTTGAAAAAATTCTTTTTGCAATAATTTCATCTATCATAATACTTTTTATTTTTTATTTTAATTCAACTTAATTTAAGTTGAATTAAAATTAATTAATTAATTCAACTTAATTTAAGTTGAATTAAAATGAAATTTAATTAATTAAGTTAAATTTAATATACAAATTAAAACTTAATTTAAGTTTACCCTTGTATATTTACTACCTTAGCATTCTCATCACTGGGTTTATATTTTTGCTAACTTTCTTAGCCTTACAATTAACCCTTCATCCCTTCGTGCTAGTTATTGTATTTTTCTTAAAAGCAGTGTTCATATCTACAAAATCCCTCTAAATACTGATTTGACTTAACTGATATGCAGCGTGTTCTATGTTACATATGATTTTCTTGTAAACCAATGAGTATATAGGAGTATATAATTTGGTCTCCAGTTATATTTCTTAAATTCACATTTCTGTAATATATTTTAATATTTGGGTTGTTGTTGGAAAATTTCATGTGCATTTGCAGAGAAGCTTCTTAAGATTTCCCTTGTAGCCTACTACATGGTCAGTTTGAGAGATAATTATCTGATCTAAAGTTACCTCCATTCTGCTAAATCTAATGGCCAGTTTTTAAACTTACCTTACTGGATCTATAAGCAAAAGTGATAACTCCACCTCCTTGAAGTACTTTGCTAGGTTGACAGTGTACCCCGCTTTCTTGGTTTTCCTTTGTTCTCATTGACAGCTTTTCTCAGTCTCCTGTGAAGGTCCTCACATCTCTATCTCAATATATCATAGTGAGCTTGATTTAGTTGGTCTCTTTTGCTTTCTTCTTTCATTGTCTTCCTTCTCTTTACTTCCCTTTCCTCTTTCTCTTCTCTTTCCTTCTCCCTACCTTCTCCCCTTCCCTCTCCCTTGCTCCCTTACCCACTCAGTTCTGCTTTCTCTCTCTCTTCTTCTTTCTCCCCATCTCTGTTTCTCTTCTTCCTCTCTCCCCGTTTCTCTTCTCCCTCTCATTTTCTTTTCTCTCTCTTCTCTCTCTCATTTTCTTTCTCCCTTTTCCTCCCTATCAGTTATATTAGAATTATCTATGATTCTAATTAAATAAACTTATACCATCAATTTCAAGCCTTTCCAATTTGGCACATTCATATTTAGCTGCCTACTCTTCACCTCCGCTTAAATATCTTATAAGCAACAAAAAATTATCAATTACAAAACTTAGCTGCTGATATTCTGTTCTATATCTCTTGCTTTTCTTGCAGCATCTCCCATCTTATCAAATAAAAAATCCATTTTTATACTGGTTCAAACAAAAATATTTAGTGTAATCTTTAACTTCTTACTTTTTCTCAGCCACCACTGCAGCTAATATGGTTAAGTCAGTTTTCAAAATAAATCCAGAAACAGGCCACTTCTTACTACCTTTGCAACTATCAGTTTATGCAAACATTATTTCTTACCTGAATAATCGTCACAGCTCCCTAATTACTCACCTAGTTTCTGTCTTTGCCACTTATAGGCAATTTTTAACACAGAAGTCCAAATGATCCTATTAAAATATAAATCACTCTCTGCTTAAAATACTCATGGCTTCCTGTTATACTCTGAATTATAGCCAAAATTTATAAGCTTACTTCCCAAGTCCCTGTGATAATCTCAGGTCCCACTGTCTTTTCTCCTTCACCACTAGGCTGAAGTACAAGGCATTTCCCTCATTCCAGTATAAAGAATGGATAATGTATACGTACTTGGAATATTCTTCCTCTCCACTTTACTTCCTAGATTCTTTCAAATCTTTACTCAACTTTACTTTCTAGGTAAAGACATTCTATCCATCCCCTCCTAATTCAAACTTTCCTTGCCATATGTTTTTATCAGTACTTGTCGTCATATAATGTATAACCTGTATAATTTATATAGTTTATTTATTGTAGGCAACCTCCTACAATAAGGTTGTAGGATGTAAGATGTAAGATGACTTATAAGGAGACTGGGATTTTTGTCATTTTGCTTCTCCCTAGAACTGCATGGTCTAGAACAGTGCTACCAACTACTAAATGCAATATAAGCTTTGATATAATGAATTAATAACTAATGAATGAAATTCCTGCACACATTAAATGTCTCTTTACTTCCCCCATGTTAGCTCATGTTGCACGACATCTCTCAGGTACCTTGGCACATAACCTGTTGGGGTTGAATTCTATCTTGAACTCAGGTAGAAGACTTTAGAGGACAAAGAGTTAACCACTCCTCACTTACCCTGCCAACGTATTTTCAGGTAACCTTGACTGTCACATTACCTCCCAATACCACCATGCTTGTCACATTGAGCTTTTTGTAATTTCCCAGTGCATGACTTAAAAGAGAGCAAAGAGTTGGCCACCATCTATCCACACAGTATTATAGGTTTCCCAGCTTTATAGCCTTCTTTGATTTTCTGACCTGTACAGAATGAGGTACTGTAGCTTTTACACTCTGCTGACTGAGTTACTCACTAACTTCCCAGTACAATGTGGACAGCTTACTTCGTATAAATTAGTCTTGACATTCTCCTTTCATAGGCTGCCGTTTTTTTAGAACATAGAGTTCCCTGACTCATTTCCAGAACTCCGTATTTTTCCTTGTAGTTTCTTTGGTTAGTATCGAATCATCCACACCCATCTCATGTTTGTGGCACTCCTAAACTTGAGGTCAGAGTAGGAAGTGAACAGCCTTTACTGGTGAGCCACAGTATCTGCAACTTGATGCAAATTGTAAAGACCAAAAGTTGCAATATATTACTGAAACTCTGCTTACAGAATTATTACACTTTAATGAAACTACAAATGGTTCCAGATAGAGTAAATGGCAGAAAATGATGATGATTTCACTCATTTCTTAAAAGGTTATAATTATTTCTTTTGTATCGGAAAAAAAATAGAGTAACTACCATAGTTCAACACCAAACTATATTAGTTTTCTGTTTGTGTTTTTTTTTTTTTTTTAATTTTATTTTTATTGATCATTCTTGGGTGTTTCTCACAGAGAGGGATTTGGCAGGGTCATAGGACAATAGTGGAGGGAAGGTCAGCAGATAAACAAGTGAACAAAGTTCTCTGGTTTTCCTAGGCAGAGGACCCTGCGGCCTTCCGCAGTGTTTGTGTCCCTGGGTACTTGAGATTAGGGAGTGGTGATGACTCTTAACGAGCATGCTGCCTTCAAGCATCTGTTTAACAAAGCACATCTTGCACCGCCCTTAATCCATTTAACCCTGAGTGGACACAGCACATGTTTCAGAGAGACAGGGTTGGGGGTTAAGGTCACAGATCAACAGGATCCCAAGGCAGAAGAATCTTTCTTAGTACAGAACAAAATGAAAAGTCTCCCATGTCTACTTCTTTCCACACAGACACGGCAACCATCCGATTTCTCAATCTTTTCCCCACCTTTCCCCGCTTTCTATTCCACAAAGCCGCCATTGTCATCCTGGCCCATTCTCAATGAGCTGTTGGGCACACCTCCCAGACGGGGTGGTGGCCGGGCAGAGGGGCTCCTCACTTCCCAGTAGGGGCGGCCGGGCAGAGGCGCCCCTCACCTCCCTGGTGGGGCGGCTGGCCGGGCGGGGGGCTGACCCCCCCACCTCCCTCCCGGATGGGGCGGCTGGCCAGGCGGGGGGCTGACCCCCCCACCTCCCTCCCGGATGGGGTGGCTGGCCGGGCAGAGGGGCTCCTCACTTCCCAGTAGGGGTGGCCGGGCAGAGGCGCCCCTCACCTCCCGGATGAGGCGGCTGGCCGGGCGGGGGGCTGACCCCCCCACCTCCCTCCCGGACGGGGCAGCTGGCCGGGCAGAGGGGCTCCTCACTTCCCAGTAGGGGTGGCCGGGCAGAGGCGCCCCTCACCTCCCGGACGGGGCGGCTGGCCGGGCGGGGGGCTGACCCCCCACCTCCCTCCCGGATGGGGCGGCTGGCCAGGCGGGGGGCTGACCCCCCCACCTCCCTCCCGGACGGGGCGGCTGGCCGGGCAGGGGGCTGACCCCCCACCTCCCTCCTGGACTGGGCGGCTGCCGGGCGGAGACGCTCCTCACTTCCCAGATGGGGTGGCTGCCGGGTGGAGGGGCTCCTCACTTCTCAGACGGGGCGGCTGCCGGGTGGAGGGTCTCCTCACTTCTCAGACGGGGCGGTTGCCAGGCGGAGGGTCTCCTCCCTTCTCAGATGGGGCGGCTGGGCAGAGACGCTCCTCACCTCCCAGATGGGGTCGCGACCGGGCAGAGGCGCTCCTCACATCCCAAACGGGGCGGTGGCGCAAAGGCACTCCCCACATCTCAGACGATGGGCGGCTGGGCAGAGATGCTCCTCAGTTCCTAGATGGGATGGCGGCAGGGAAGAGGCGCTCCTCACTTCCTAGATGGGATGGCGGCTGGGCAGAGACGCTCCTCACTTTCCAGACTGGGCAGCCAGGCAGAGGGGCTCCTAACATCCCAGATGATGGGCGGCCAGGCAGAGACGCTCCTCACTTCCTAGACGGGGTGGCGGCCGGGCAGAGGCTGCACTCTGGGCACTTTGGGAGGCCAAGGCAGGCGGCTGGGAGGTGGAAGTTGTAGCGAGCCGAGATCACACCACTGCACTCCATCTTGGGCACCATTGAGCACTGAGTGAACCAGACACTGTCTGCAATCCCGGCACCTCCGGAGGCCGAGGCTGGCGGATCACTCGCGGTTAGGAGCTGGAGGCCAGCCCGGCAACACAGCGAAACCCCGTCTCCACCAAAAAAATACGAAAACCAGTCAGGCGTGGCGGAGCGCGCCTGCAGTCGCAGGCACTCGGCAGGCTGAGGCAGGAGAATCAGGCAGGGAGGTTGCAGTGAGCCGAGATGGCAGCAGTACAGTCCAGCTTCGGCTAGGCATCCTGTGTTTTAAACTAGTATAAAAATATTTAAAATATTCTAGTATTCAAGGAAAGAGAAAAAAAAGTTTTCTTTCCCTCTGTGCTCTTTCATTTTTATATTACCAAACTTTATCTCTGCTCCATTAAATAAGTCCTTGCTCTGGTAGGCCAGAGGTGGAACCAGTGGAGAATATTGCTTGCAGAAAAGGCCAAAGAGTGCTTTAAACTTTTAGGGATTTCAACATTAAAACACTTACACGAATGAGGATTTCATGGGTGTTTGAGGCATGAATTCACAATCAGACCAATTTTAGTACAATTTATGTTTTTGTTTTATATAACTATATAAGCATAATCTTCCTCTGTCTATGCTGTTAGTTTTCTTCTCTACAAGTAATGCTAATACTTTATCAAATACATTTTCTGTGAACTCTAAAGATAGTATGCCTGCAAAGGATTTAGCACAGCATTTAGTATATCATGAGCACTCAATTATGGTAGCCATTATTATTATTATCTTTTTATAATTCTAACATGAAGAAAATATGTTACTTAATTAAATACACAAGGAAATGAAAATATAGAACTGCATATATGTAAGTCTGACATTTGTAGATATTTCATTATTATTTAGAATTAAGTTATTTTAAGAGAGTTGAAATTTGCATTGCATTGTAAACTCATATATTTCAGGAAAGAAAAGAGGAAAAAATGCCTCTTAAGGGATGATTTTCAGCCTATTATGAAGTATTTGAGATTCACCATTAAAATCTTTGAATTGCTTTGTATTATTTATTAATATAATTTGATTGTATTATAATCATCATAAGCCATTTCTAGCCAAGTCAACTTTCTGATTTTCTCATACCGTAATTTATACAACTGTTAGTTCATGAAACTAACACCAACTAAATTACTTGCCTTCAATTTAGAAATGTAATTTAAAGCCAAATATAATTCCTCAAAATTTGATGAAAACTCTTTCTTATTCAAACAACATCTTCACTATGGAGTTATTCATGAAGAACACACACACAGAATTTAATATAATGCTTTGCAATTGTGCTCATTTTTTCCATGCCATTTCTTCATTACTTTACTAGGCAAAAACATGCATATACTTCAAGGAACTTCACTTCTATGTTTTCATAGACATGTGCATCTCTCACTAGTTTGAATCATTGTTAAATTCATAATTATCTAGTTTTTTCCTGCACTTAGAATTAAATGAAGAGACGAGCTACTTTGCAGAAGACATCTATATATAGTGTGTGTGTGTGTATAAGCTCACGTGTGTGTGTTTCTGTGAATCTATAACAATCAGTCAATATGGAGCTTACATCTATTTTAAAATAGGGTGTTTATCCACCTTTATTTCAGCTATTTAGGTATCTACAACTATTTCAGCTATTTTGCCTTACAAACTTGCTCTTTAGATTCCTGATGGAAGATCAACACTGATGATATCTTAGTGATTTCGATTTTGTCACTGCATATGCTTAATCCAAATAAACAAAAATTTCTTATCAAATGGTTATAAAGATAAAAATCTTTATAGCCTATTTAAAAATACTCTTCACTTTTCATAAATTCAGATAATTCTAGAAGTACATAGCTTTTATGTGGCTGCTAAATATATGGCTAAAATTAAAGACTGTCTATTTCAATCCTCTATCATGGTTTCATTGCTTCGAGCACTCTTAGCAGTCACCACCAAAAAAAGCAATGTGCCCTTTGTTAATAATAGCCATTCTGACAGGTGAGCAATGAAAAAAAAAAAAAGACAAGTGTTGGTGAGGATGTGGAGAAATTAGGAACCTTGCAAACTCTTCGTGGAAATGCAATACAGTTCAGTCAGTTCATACTATTTGGAAAACAGTATGGAAGTTCCTCAAAAAATAAATAAATAAAAAGAAAACTACCATTTGGGCCAGTACTCATATTTCTGGATATATAACCAAAATACTTGAAATCAAAATCTTAAAGAGATATTTACACTCCCAATGTTTATTGCAGCACTATTCACAACAGCCAAGATGCAGAAACAACCTAAATGTCCATTAATGGATGAATGCACAAAGAAAATATGGTATATACATACAATAAATATTCACCCTTAGAAAAGAAAGTTCTTTAATATGAGATAATATGAGTAGGCCTGGGTAACATTATGTTTGGTGAAATAACCCAGTCACAGAAAGACAAATACTGCATAATTCCTTCTATATGAGATATCCAAAATAAATTCATAGAATCAAAAAGTGGAATGGTGGTTGTCAAGGCAACCATGGTAGGAGGGGGATATGGACAGTTACCTATCAATGGGCACACAGTTTTTATTCAGTAAGATGAATAAGTTCTGGAGCTCTGGTGCACAACATGGGGCCTGCAGTCAACAACATTGTATTGGACACTTAAAATTTTATTAAAGGTTAGATCTCATGTTAAGTGTTCGTACCGTAATAAAATAATTTAATAAATAAATTTAGGGTACATATAACATTTCAATTGTAGCAAATGCATTTCCTTTTCATTGGAAATTGATTTGATTACTGAAAAAGTTATTTTCAAAGAAAATTACATTTTAAAATCAACTATTAAGTCAAAATATACCAAACACATATTATAAAAATAAAACACAGAATGATGAGCATACTGCTAACTGTAGCTAAATAAAGGGGGTATCTCCAAAGTATGAATTGCACTCCTTTTAGACAAATTCATTAATATGTAGTGATGATCATTTCCCGTTCAAGAACTCAACTGACTTGTATTTCTAACATTGATGCTTTCAGTGCTGCCTCTCAAAACCTCACAAAATGTGGTAAACAATAAAATAAAAATAGATGAAATTAAAAAAAAGAAAAAAGAAAACAATGTGCCCCATTTTGGATGTCGGGAAAAAACTGAGTTCTCTCATATCTAGCACATCATTTGCAGCAAATGTGATATAGCGACTCATTTTGGACCACCATGATTGAACTTGGCACCAATATTTTGTATTTATATAATGCAGGAACAAAAAAGAGGCTATGGTTTTCCTAATGGTGTCATCTGAGTGAAAAAACAACAACAAAAAAAAGACAAACAAAAAAAACAAGATGACTGCACTATACTTCAGTAGCTTTTCCCAGATAAACATGGTGCTGTTTGAGAGTTTGTCCCATTCCTGCTCATTGGAAATTTGAATAGTTTTATACCAGTTCATTTCTCTCAATGGCTTATTTTCCATTAGGTTTTTAACTTTTAGTATGTGCTAAAAGCAGGGATATAATGATTTATTATTATAATAAAAATTATCATTGCTTTACTTTTTCTGTTCTGCAGAGGGAAACAAAGGTGAATTTACGAGACAAATCAAAACTTGCCTCTTGGTCTGAATTGTTCATACAAATTAAAATCTACTTCATTGACTTAGAGGAGTATATTCTAAACTAAAACATATTAAACATTGCTTTAATTATCTGTATTTCTATAGTGACATAATATTTTTTAGGAAATTCTCTAGAGAATACAAGTTTATTAAAAAATTTTTAATTGCTGATTTAATTTCACTTCCTGCTTTGTTTGCCTTTCTGAATTACTGGGTTACATAATTTAGAGTATTCAGAGCTTTTGCCAAGAATTAAATTCAACTGTTTCCCTTCTTCTAATTAATATATATATAGATATAGGATATATATGATTCCTTCATATTTCTGAATACCAGACTGAATAGTGTTTGGTGTTTTGGTGTCCACTTGCAATGCTTTTATTCTCTGAAGTTTAAAAAGCAAATATCATCCTTGCAAATACTTTAAGACTTCAAATAGCATACATATTTGTTCAAAAATAATTGGCATATTTTCCTTGCAACTCTATTGTGCTAAATCTACATTTGAACGTAGTTTAAGAGATTTTTCCTTTCTCAGCTAATTTAGAGACTGAGAACTGCGTAAAATTTAGTGTATAATTCAAAGTTCATGCTGCATTTTCAGAATAAGAATGGGAGATGAATGAATTCAAACTCTTTTTTAAGGGGAAAAATGGACCCTACTGAGAAATACTTCTTAATGGTGCATAACTGTTTTATGAATCAGGGAGAATGAGTTGGTGTAGGGTTATAAAACAATTAATGTTATTCATTGGGTCTAGAGTAGTAAAGTGAGAATTCAGTGCTAATAACATTTCATCATTCGAAGTAGCAGAGAACAAGAATGTATTTATCATTAAGCTCTAACTGCTAGCACAATTTATGGCTGGATGTTTTTGTTTCTGCTATGCTGATAGAACAAATAAAATGTGTAAAGAATTAATTTTCTGGAAATCAGGTCAACAATGAAGACATTTAAAAGGATAATATAAAACCAAAAAAAAAGAGAAAGTAACTGCTTTAATGCTTTGTCACATTGATGAACTGTATTATCAAATTAAGTTTATCAATTCAGTAGTAATTTTAGACACCTCTTCTGATTTTCAGTGAATAACACAAAACTTAAGTCACTGAAGTTAAACAAATATTTTAAATGTATATACATTAGTTTATAGTGTACAACATGTAATGACTGACTTCGTTTACAGTATGCAGTTTGTTTGAGTAAATTACCAGAAGCATTTAAAAAATGGAGCACACCCAACATTAAATGGATACAGCAGACACTACTAATTACAAGAACATTTTAATATTTTGGAGACTTCGTTATTCATTGGGCAGAGTATATAAGCAAACAATCATATTACAGATTTTTATGGCAAGACTAGAAACTTTTTGATATTATAATCAGAAGTGAGAACATTTCAAAAGGAAAATAATTGAGAGAATGATCATAATACATATTGCCTCAGTGAAAAATAGTGCAAACTTTATGACCTGAACTATGCAGTAATTGTGTATTCAACTGCCTGCCTAGATGTGATAGGGTGAAAAGCTTGAGTTATAGTGGTAAAATATATTTTTAGAGAAAGATAAAAATGTGTTAAATGCTGCCAAATCTAGATTTCAAGTCTCTATAACTAGATTTTATGTTATACAGTAGTATAATTTGGCAAAGTGATAATAGACTTCAGTGAGAAGAGAACCAAATTATACTGACTCTGAATAGAAAATCTCATTTGAAGACTCAACTACTCTCCTCTCTACTGTTTAGCTAGAGTATTACACTTTAATGAGAAACAGGCATTCAGATGCCAATCAGCAAGTCTAGACAGTATTTCAATATTGTGGGACCAGATGAGAACTCTAAATTTGATTCTTATTTTCTGAGAATTAATATCCAGCATTCATTGTGTAATAGCCCTCCTTACATTCCCTCTGTTCTGCTCTAAAGGAAAGGTAAGAATAATTCTACCTCTGTCATTTCACTCTCTTACTCACCACTGCTTTGATACTGGTATATTTCTAATCATGGAATTCATTTGTTTAGATTTCATCTTTGGTTTAGAATTACTCTTAGGTAAGAATCCTAAATATTGTTCACAAAGTTCTTCATTATTAGTTCCCAATTAACCTTCCAGTTTTCTACTCATATACAGTGATTATATTGAAAATATTTGTACACTGGTAAAACACAGGCATGTAATTGCCACATGAAATGCCACCTGGAGGACCTTTGCTCTGCCAGACATTTATCTCTTAGTTGACAGATCTTGGGTGGCTGGAGGTTTTCTAGGTAGGGCTGGGAGTTCATGAGGGGCTCAGAGTGAAGAGGCTTTATTGCTCTTTTATCAGACATTCCCTTCTGCCTTCAGTCACACAAATACTTCCCTAGCACACAACCATGGTGAACTGCAGTTTAGTTATTGGGATCTTGACACTTGTTTGTTTCCTCTTCCTGGACATCTCTCCCATCCCCTAACATTTGCATCTGGCTAAGTAGTACACATCTTTCAGGTCTCATAGTGCCACTCAATCCTCATCACAGTCTTCATTACATTTTTCCAGTTGTCCACATATACTATAATGTATTTTGTTTGCACAAAACATTAATCTTATTATATATTATTATGTAATTAATTGGCATATTCTTTTACTCTAAACCATTGTTTTTATTTAGGGGAACTATAACTCCCTGGGGTATGTGAAAGAAAAATAAAATCTTAGGACCCCAATTTACTATGCCAAAAAGAAAAAATGAAGCGGAAAGATGAGTCATGCAAGAACCTGCTTTCATTTTGTTCCTAAGCAGAGAGCTACAGATAAAGGTTATATATCTCCATAGATAGCTACTCTATGTTCACCTTATGTTATATAAAGTGCTGATTTACTGAGAGCTAGTTGAAAACTTAACGGACTATTCCCCTACCTGCTTCTTTTCTCTTGCAAGATGTGGATACAGCAATGTCACGATACCCTCTCTTTCCCCTCCAGCCCGCATTTTCCCTTTAAATACTGAAGTTTTCAAAATCATCTTTGGAAAAAGGTATGGATAACAAAGGTATGGATCACAGATCGTTCCTATGGATTTGTGATTTTTCTTTTACAAGGAAGTCCTTAACATTGGCAAAATAAACCTCTAAAGTGGTTGATACCTGTTTCAGAGACTTTTTGGTTTACAAATTGGTGACTAACAAAGGGGACTCTGAGTGGAGGTGGCCCTAACCTTTGACAAATCTTCTGTTGGTGCTTGGTACCAGCCTGGGTACCAAACCTCAAACCTTGGTACCCAAGCTGGTACCAAGATTTTATTGCTCAAACCAATAGGACAATTTGCTGAGGTACTGAAGGTTTTATTTACCCTCCAGAGAATCCTGATCTCCCCTAATTTGGTTGAGATCTAAGGTTGATTTAGCTGTATGACTCCTTTTCTGAAGTTTTACTCACTTCCAATAGGTAAGGCAAGTTTGAGCTTTTCCCTGCTTCTAAGATGGTAGAGATCAGCTTTCAGCCTTGGCCACATTCCTAGGAAAATAGCCGAATTGGGGTTTTGCCTTCAAATAAATGTCTTAGTCGTGTTTTTGTTTGTTTGTTTGTTTGTTTGTTTGTTTGTTTTTTTACCAAGTTCTGCTCTTTTTGCCCAGGCTAGAGTGCAATGGTGCAATCTTGGCTCACCTCAACCTCTGCCACCCGGGTTCAAGCAATTCTCCTGCCTCAGCCTCCTGAGTAGCTGGGATTACGGGCATGCACCACCATGCCTGGCTAATTTTATATTTTTAGTGGAGAGAGGGTTTCTCCATGTTGGTCAGACTGGTCAGGAACTCCCGACCTCAGGTGATCTGCCCGCCTCAGCCTCCCAAAGTGCTGAGATTACAGGTATGAGCCACCATTGCCAGCCTGTCATTTTCTTTTTCTTTTTTTTAATTATTATTATTTTTATATGTAAGTTCTAGTGTACATGTGTACAATGTGCAGGTTTGTTATGACTAAAAGTTAAGATTGTCAACCAGCTGGTCTAGTTCTCAGTAATCATATTGTTTGTTTTTCTTGTTCTTGTTTTGGCCTTTCACTCCTTTTCCCATTGGATTTCACCAACTCTACCTGGTTTGGTCAAATCTGAATGAAAATTCCAACTTGTGCAGAACAAGGCCTCTGAATTGGCTGAAATCCCCTACAGCTGCAAAACTGAAAAAACAAAGCAAAAATAAAAACAAACAAACAAAAAAAAACAGCCAGCAAAAAGGATTTTTTTTTAAATGTTTTTCTACTACTTTAGGGGCTTCAGCCACAAAACAAGGGTACGTTTTACTAAAAAAGCTGCTTCTAGTTTTTCTTCTTGTAAGAAGAGCAACAGCAGCTACCATTAGCTATAGTTCAGTAACTAAGATCTTGCCCTTTTTACTTTTGTAACCTAGGTTTGCTTCCTAAATCAAGTCCTTTCTTGTTTGATATTTATGCTCCTTTTGAATATCAGCTGATTGTCCTAGCTAAAATATAGTAGTAAGAGATTTGAAATTATTTTTTAGGGAGCTTTATATTTAAAAGTCAGCTTAATTAAAAGCTGGTATCTAAGATATCTATCTATCTATTATCTATCTATCTGTGTATCTATTATCTATCTATCTATCTATCTATCTATCTATCTATCTATGTCTTTGTGCTCCTATGAGAATCTAATGCTGCCATTGATCTGACAGGAGGTGAAGCTCAGGTGTTAATACTTGCCCACCTGCCACTTACCTCCTGCTGTGTGACCCAGTTCCTAACAGGCCACAAGCTAGTGCTGGTCCGCAGCCTGGCGCATGGGAACCTCTGCAATACGGGCTACATTGGAAGAGCTCAGTGGTCCAGTTAAAAGATAGAGAATAAATTTAAAACTACCTATCTAAATAAAGTTGGTCTCCTTATAAAATCCTATGGTAGATTTCTGTAATTTTATGTTTGGCTTGGCATCCATTTTAATCTTCTTGCAACACACCCTAACTTTCTCTCTCTGTGTACTTTGCAATGTAAATTTTGCTGATTTTCACCTAAGAATTTGTTATGCAAATTTAGGGTTATGTTGCTGATGATTGCTTAGGGTAATGAAAGAGGTTATCAAGAAGGTTGGGCATGGTGGCTCACTCCTATAATCCCAACATTTTGGGAGGCTGATGGGGACAGAATGCTTGAGCCCAGGAGTTTGAGACTAGCCTGAGCAACATGGCAAAACCCTGTCTTTACAAAAAAATACGAAAATATATTTACACCTATTTTTCAAGCAGTTCTATATTTATCTCTACTAAATATTAAGGTCAAAATTTTATATGAAGTTTATAGAGCTACAAAGGCAGGCCAACAGAATGATCCTCGTGCAATTTTTGTGATAAAAAAGGCATTCAATATTATTGGTTTAATGAAAACAGCTAGATCTTGGGTTATTACCAAAAAGGCCCATTTATTTAACCTTAAGATATTACTCAAGTAAACAACCAGTCTTCACAGGCTATAAAAATGGTTAACAGGGAATAACTTTAAATGATGATTAGCTTTGACTAATATCACAATTTTTAAAAGTAATCTAGGTAAACTATTATGAATAAACTAATTAATTAGGTAAACATAATAAAATAATTGCTTATAAAAATGCTTGTCATATAGTTCAGAATCTTAAAGTTTTATTCAATTGAATAATATATATTCATTAAATGTCTGCATCATACCAATATTCTATAATTATACTATAGAAAAACATTTTTCTAAAACAAACATTGCTATAAAAGAGAAAATAAGTTTTATCTAATTCAAAGGTTACTTATGACAAAAGGTAAAAGGAAACAATAAACAAGGGAGAAGTAAATAAAGTTTAAATACAAAGACTTATTTTTGGTGAGAAAGGTTAAAACTAAAATAATTTCATATGAGAAAGAATCTTATATGGTAATTTTGTGTCCTAAAATAAAGTGTCTGGTTATTTAAGAAAGATACTTGTTTGGGATAAAACTGGAAGCCCAAGTATGTCATAGATGGTTTGTGTTAGTCATAATCAGATTTGTAAAAAGATAATTTTTGAAAAAAATCTTCATGTAATTAAGTTGGCTACAATTGAAAGGAAATTGTATATAATAGTCTTCCTAGAGATTGGGCTTTGATATTAAGAATACATTAATACACAAAACAATTGGTTAGAGTAAAAAAATTTTTAAAGTATTGATTTACTTTTAATAAAACTATAATAAATTTTAATTTTTCACCCCAAAATTTGACTTTCCTTGCATCTAATTTTCAGCTTTATTTTCTATTTGAAGAGGCCTAAAATAATAACTCTCTCCTTCAAGCTTTTTATCACCTCCTGTAACTTTTTTCTCAGCTTCTGTCACTGTGGTCTGATGCTAAAAATATTTTATTTTGAAGATCTAAAATAAATGTATTTTTCAGATATAATAATTCTATATTCTTGGCTCCTCCTAATATATCTAAATGGCTCTATGAAATGTAAAACCTTCACTGATGACCAAGGATACACTCTTACTATGTCTAATAAATTTTAGTGCCCTTTTCATTAGTTTGGAATTGCAGGTTATCTAAATGAACTCCCCATAAAGAAATGCAATCACACTGCACAAGATCAGTTTTTTGCTTTTTGGTAATTAGTCTAAGAAACACATTTTAATTTTATTGAAAAATTTGCTATGTCAATGTTATTAAGTTCTTAAAAAATCTGTTTTTGCTTAGAAAAAACTGAGATTTTTTAAAATTAATTAATGTTATTACATGCATGTAACTTTCTGTAAGGCTTTTAAAATCCTTGTTCTGGTATGCTACAGGGCTTTGACTCTTGGGTGTAAAAAGGACCCCAACTCCTGCTAAATCTTAAACATTAACCATAGTTAAAACCTCATTGTCAGGCCCATGAGAAGGTGATTAAAAAATGAACTGTGTTCTTGAGACACAGGGATGAAAATTAAGACTACTCAACCCCTCTAGGCCAGGAACTATTGTGGACAGGTAGGTATGTGAGATTGTAGGAGCCAATTTTGAGAGAAACAGTAAGTTCAGTTGCTCTATAAATTAAACATTAATATCAAAGGCACACTGATGCAAGACCGGCATTGGGGCCCCAGGTTTTCTTAGATCATTAATCTTCATTTTAAGGAAAAAAAATAGAAAAGTTTATAAAATGGTTTGCAAACATATCTTATGGTAAAGATATTAACAGTTTAATAGATTTGTTTATAATATCTGAGAGATTTTTAACTGGCATCATGCTATCTTTATTAGGGATTATTATTTAGATAAGTAACTCTCCTCTAATAAAGAATAAAGGCTTTTACTTTTTTTAAAAAAAAAATTGAGTTATGTAGGCTAAATTAATGACTTATTTTACAATAATCTGCGATCCCTTTTGATTATATCAAGTGTCTTAAACTTTTGCTATTTCACAAACTTTCCAAAATCAAATGCTGAATTTATTCTTTTTGATCTCATTTTTTTTGATATTAGGTTTTCCTGAAATCCAAAACAGATATATTTGCTTACATTGGTATAATAAAACCATAGGAAGCATTGTCAACTATGAAATAATGTCTAATATGTTTTGGATTATATTTATAAAAGTGTATTATTAGCATGAGTTCCAAAATTATATGAGATTTCTGTGACTCTGATAAGTCTTAGTATATATTATTAGTAGTAATTATGATTATGTTAAATAGTTGCAAGCCTCAGAAATAACCAAATTTTCCTGTCAATTTTTTTTATCATGGTTGTTCTAAGACTTATTTCATCCACAATTGTTATTCTTTAACCTTTTGAAAGGGTTATTTATAATCAGCTACAGAGCTCTGAAGAGTTCTCTAAAATATAGGTTTCTGATAAATTTAGAGATTGTGCCGTTGGAATGAAGAAAAAATCTTCCAGGACTCTCATGGAGATGTGATATATTCATGAGGATTGCTGATCAAATATGGAGCAAAAAAGTTCATTGCATGGAGTGAACTAATAGTCGACTGAAAATAACCTTTTATGACCTTTGTTTAAAACATTGCCAGTTCTTTTTTTATCAGAGCCAATAAAACTTTTTCCTCTTTTTTGCCATTTAAGCTTTTAACAATTGAATAAAATAAACTCTTATGAGCAAAATTTAAAATGTAATTCTTTTTTTTCAACGTGTTTCCAACATTTGGAAACTTTTTGATTATTCTTAATTTATAGATTATATAGCTATTTGCATCAGTTCAATAAGAATCTGTTTTCCTTTATAGCAACATATGATTAGAGACATTGGTTATTTTATCAAGGCTTTGACTAGGATGACACACTTTCAAATGGCCTTGAAAAAATAGGGCTGACCTAAAGAGCTTTAAAAGCCCCTTGGAGAAACAGGTCTCATATTTTGTCCTTAAGAGAGTCCTGACCTGTGGTAGGTAAAGAATGTTATTTTCTGACAGGCCCAGGAACCCCAAGCCTACTTGGTACCTCAAAAAAAAGAGAAATTCGTTCAATTCATACCAGTACCTACAGGCACAGATAAATCTTTGACTGGGATCAAGGCTTTTAGAAAGGTTCCAGCAAGGCCAATTTAAAAAAAAAAAAAAAAAAAACTTATATGGCAAACGATTACTCTTGCTCAATTTTAGGGAAATGAACATGTCAAGTATAATACAACTAAAATTTCTTTTACAAACAAATTGGTCCTGCTATGATTTTGCCTTTAATAAAATTGGGTAATTAGAGACATAAATTATTTTTTCAAAATAAACTATAGTACACTTCTTACTAGATTCTAAGTTTATCCAATAATTTTCAATTTTTATTATTTTCTAAAATTTGAACTGAATCCTCACATTTTCCTGGCTACAAGTCTCTAAAGTCATGTTTTTTATTTTTTTCTCTCTTTTCTTTTTTTCTCTATTTTCAATGATTTGAAATCACTGAAAAATTAAAACTGTGCTTTTGTTAAAGTTCTGTAACCTGAAGCTAGAATACTTAAACATTGGAAATAAACATTGGAAGAAAAGGACAACAATACACACACACATATATATGTTATATATATAGATTATGTATTATATTTTGTTATATAGTATATATAATATATAATATATAATATATAAAATGTGTTATACTATACTATAATATAATATATATTAAAATGTATTATATATTATTATAAAATATATTATAATATATAATATATTATAATATAAAATATATTATAATATATTATAATATAAAATATATATTATATTATATACTATAATATAAAATATATTATATTATATACTATAATATAAAATATATTATATTATATATTATATATAAATATACTTTTATACCTGTCTACTGACGTATGAACTTCAGAGTAATATGGCCTATATCAGTTTTCCAGGATTGTTTTACCTTTCTATTTGTTAATTCTCTTTTTTGTTCTTCTGTTTTCTTTCTCTCTTCCATCCCCAATTTTCCTTAATGGAACAAGAGACTTCAGAACTTGCTAACAATGAGCTTTCCTCACAATATGGGACCTATCCATCTAGGAATAAACCATCCTAGCCATGAGAGATTGGACAAAATCTGAAACCAGAGACTCATTTTCATCTAATATGCTTTCTCTAAAAGATATTATTTTAAGGAGGGGTGGGAAATGAATGTGAAAGGAAAAATAAAATCTCAGGAACCCAATTATGGCCAAAAGTATAAATTAAGCTAAAAGCTGAATCATGCATGAAATTTCCTTTCCTTTTTGTTCCTAAGCAGAGTTACAGATAAAAGGTTAAATATAACCACAGGTAGCTACTCTATACTTACATTTCTTGTGTAACATTCTGAGTTACTGAGTGCTAGTTGAACTAATTGACTCTTTCTTTACTGCTACTTTTCTCTTGCAACATGTGGATTCAGTAATGTGACTGTACTCTCCCTATTTCCCCTTCAGCCTACTTTTTCCTTTTAAATATTGAAGTCCTCAAAATAATCATTGGAAAAACGTATGGACCACAGATTGTTCTTGTGGATTTGTGATCCTTCTTTTTTCAGGCATGTCTTTTACCTTGGCAAAATAAATTTCTGAATTGATTGAGATCTGTCTCAGACACTTTTTGGTTTACAGCTCATAGTTAAAGGTTCCGATTCCTGGAGTTCATTTTCTAACAAAATAATAAATTCACTTTGCTATGCCTCAAACATTGACAATTTAACAAGATTCTTAGTGATTCACATGCAACTTATAATTTAAGAACTGCTCTGTGAAGACGGTATGTAAACATGCTTTTCCACTCTACATGTTGAGAAAATAACCCAAAACACAGTACAAAATCAGTACTTTGAAAATCTTGTTGAATGAATGAATGCCTGTCAAAAATGCTTCACTGATGAAAGTTTATTTTCAAGTGTCAGCTTGTGAAGTTAGGTAATATTTAATTAGCTGGAAACAGAATTAAGTTAAGGTATAAGGAAACGTGTATGCTATATAAAAATAACCACTGATGCTGAGTATTTCAATAAGAGAGCTTTTCCTGTTTCAAGGTCCCTGTGTGTCAGAGCATATTTAAATTAGCTCTAAATCACTGGTCAATATTACTCTCTTTACATGTGTTTCTTCGTTTCCTCTTCCTCCTCTTTCCTTTTCCTTCTCTTCCTACTTTCCTTTTCCTTCTTTATCTCTTTATTATCACTTTGTTACCCTTTATGTTACTCTTTTGTCTCATTAACTTTTTAACTTTTATTTTAGATTTATCTTTGACTCTGATTGGTAATCAAAGGGATGATTTAGATCTTCCTTAGACCCTCAAGCCTAAGAAAATTATGAGGTAAATAACGAGTGTAAAAATCACCCCAAAACATAAGTAATTTGAAATATTATACCAATAATGATCTAATTGCTTTGATATATAAATCCAAATATTACATTTTCTGAACTAGTGGTAGCCTCTTTATACTTACAAGCTTATAATAGTAAAAAAATAAAGCGTGAATTCCTAAATAAAATAAATTTGAAATAATAAAATCTGTATTCCTATCACATAGAATATTTTGAGTTTAATTCAAGCTTTGAAGTTCTGTTCACTTAATGTATAAAGTCTTTATAAATGTCACTTATTTGACACACGTGGTCATAGTCTTGGGCAGGTAAACCAAAATACAGTTAAGTATGTATACATTATTCAATAAAGCCATACATAGTAAATATGTATCTGTGAGTAAAAGATATATATATATATATATATATATATATATATATGTTTTTACTTCTGGGAATGTTAATGTTAAAATAATAAGATATTAGATTATAAAGAGCTATAGAGTCCTTGTCTAAATAAGAATTGTACAAACATGTATAGAAACTTCACGACTTGGTCTGTTCAGTGATTTGCTCAACTATTCTTAGCAGAGATAGGATGAAATGCTATAACTTCCAACTTCCAGTGGAAGCCCATTCCACCAAAATATGAAGAATTTAGACTAATATTACCTGTCAATATGGTTTATAGTCTATGTGTCTCAGAGAGAATATACAAAGCTTAATTTGTTTTGGTTTCTAGTCAAAGAGCTTGGAATTTTTGTCTCATTACTAGAATTTGCCAACTAATAACATATTTTCAAGTTATAGACTAGTTTGGATATCATATATTTTAGTTTTTAAAGCTCCAAATTTAGCAGACATACAAACGATAAACTTTGTTACTAATCACAGATATGCTCTTTCTCATAAACCATTAATAAAAGTCAAGGCTTAAGGAGCATTATAATTTTCAGAGGCTTAGTTGAAAACATGTATAATTTAATTTAATTTGTAAAGATATGTCTTCAACTGTTGTGCGTGTAAATTGGAATAAACATTCAGTTTTATTGTTCTGAAAATATATTCTTAGTCACACTTAATATATGCCCTTAGGGTGATGATTTTCACATTTTTAAAATGATTACTTAACCAACTGTTCTTCAACGAGACATACAAAACAAATTGGGGAAAGCACATCTTATTCAATAAATGGTGGTGGAAAAACTGGCAAGCCACATGTAGAAGAATGAAACTGGATTTCCAACTCTCACTTTATACAAATATCAATTTAAGATGAATCAAAGATTAAATCTAATATCTGAAACCATACAAATTCTTGAAGATAATATTGGAAAACTCTTCTTGTCATTGGCTTAGGCAAAGAATTTATGTCTAAGACCCCAAAAGCAAATGCAACAAAAACAAAAATAAATAAATGAGACCTAATTAAACTAAAAAGCTTCTGCTCAGCAAAATAAATTATCGGAAGAGTAAACAGACAACCCACAGAGTGAGAGAAAATATTTACAACCTATGCATCTGACAAAGGACTAATACCCACCATCTATAAAGAACTCAAATTAGCAAGAAGAAAACAAATAATCCCATAAAAAAGTAGGCAAAGGACATGAGTAGACAATTCTCAAAAGCAGTTATACAAAGAGTAAACAAACATATGAAAAAATGCTCCACATCACTATTAGGGAGATGCAAATTAAAACCACAATGAGAGACCACCCAACTCCTATAAGAAAGGGCATAATATAAAAGTCAAAAAACAACAGATGTTGGCATGGATGTGGAGAAAAGGGAACACTTTCACTCTGCTGGTGAAATGTAAACTAGTACAACAATTATGGAAAACAGTATGGGGATTCCTTAAAGAATTAAATGTAGAACTACCATTCGATCCACCGATCTACTCAAAGTAAAAGAAAGCATTATATGAAAAAGACACATACACATGCATGTTTATAGCAGCACAATTCACAATTGCAGAGATATGGAACCAAGCTATGTGTCCATCAACCAACGAGTGGATAAAAAAATGTGGTATATACACACCATGGAATACTACTCAGCCATAAAATGGAATGAAATAATGTCTTTTGCAGCAACTTGAATGAAGCTGGAGGACGTTATTCTACATGAAGTAACTCAGAAATGGAAAATCAAATATTGTATGTTCTCACTTTTAAGTGAGAGCTCAGCAAGGAAAATGCAAAGGCATACACATGATATACTGAACTTTGGCAACTCAGAGTGGGGGATGTTAGGAGCAGGGTGAGGGATAAAAGACTACATATTATATACAGTGTATACTGCTCCAGTGAGAGATGCACCAAAATCTCAAAAATCATGACTAAAGAACTTACTCATGCAACCCCAAACCACCTGTACCCCAAAACTATTGAAATAAGAATAAAATTAACTTTTAAAAATGCTTACAAATAGAAAATAATTTTTCTGCTAGTTCTGGAGTAATGCTTCAAGATGGAGAGAATCTATAAACTCACTGATCCTCCAGTGAGAGAACTGCATAATAGATAAGACAAAATGACAAGAATATTTCAGAAAAAGGCTAAATGATGATTTCGAATATACTATCCTTCTACAATAGTTGTTCTGGTGAAATCCTTTAGTGCAATAAAATATTATCTGTGACACATATTTTGATAATGATTATATATACATTCTGGTGGTTTCCTTTTTAAAATTTATATAAATTTATGAGGTACAGGTTTAATTTTGTTAAATGCATAGATTGCACAGTGGTGAAGTCAGAGCATTTAGGGTATCCATCACCCAAACTGTGTACATTCTACCCATTAAGTAGTTTTTCATCCTCTACCTGCCTCCCACACCCTCGCCCTTCCAAGACACTATTGTCTATCATTCTACACTCTACATCCACGTGCACTCATTATTTAGCTCCAAATTGTAACTGAAATAAGCCATTTTTGTTTTTCTGTGTCTTGCCTGACTCACTAAAATAATGGCTGCCAGTTCCATTCATGGTGTACAAAATACATGATTTCATTATTTTTAAAACTGAGTAGTATTCCATTATATATATGTATCACATTTTATTTATCCAATCATGGTTTGATGAACACTTAGGTTGATTCCATATGTTCACTATTGTGAATAATTCTGTGATCAACATAAAAGTGCAGTTTTTTTTTACAATGATTTCTTTTCCTTTGGGTAGATAAGTAGTAGTGGGAGTGCTGAATTGAATAGTAGTTGTATTTTTAGTTCTTTGAGAAACATCAATAATGCTTTCTATAGATGTTGCATTAATTTACATTCTAACCAACAGTGTATAAGCATTCCCTTGTCTACACATTCTTGACAACATCTTTTTTTGAAATTATTATTAATGATGGTCTTCCTGACTGGAGTAAGATGATGCATCATTGTGGTGTTAACTTGCATTTCCCTGATTATTAGTGATGTTGAACATTTTTTCATATATCTGCTGGACATTTGTATGTCTCCTTTTGAAAAGTGTCTATTCAGGTCCTTGCCCATGTTTAAATGAGGTTACTTATTTTTTCTGAGATCCCTGTATATTCTGGATATTAGAACCTTGTTGGATGCACATGTGGTAAATATTTTATCCTATTCTACAAGTTGGCTGTCAACTATATTGAATGTTTCTTTTGCTGTGCAGAAGATGTATAGTTTTATTTAGTCCTATTTGTTGATTTTTGTTTTTGTGGACTGTGATATTGAGGTCTTACCTATGAATTTGTTGCCTAGACCAATGTCTAGCAGAGTTTTCCCTAAGTTTCCTTCTAATATGTTTATAGTTTCAGGTCTTACATTTTACTCTTTGATAGATCTTGCTTTGGATTTTTTATATGGTGAGAGATTGGGGTCCTGTTTCATTCTTCTGCATAAGGCCATCCAATTTTCCCAGCACTGTTTATTGAAAAGGGTGTTCTTTCCCCAATGTATGTTCTTGTAACTTTGGTATATATAAGTTGGCTGTACATATTGTCTTTATTTCTGGGTTCTCTATTCTGTTCCATTAAGCTATAAGTCGATTTTCATGCCAGTAACATGATTTTGTGGTTACTTATAGCATTGTTAAGTCAGGAAATGTGATGCCTCCAGATTTACTCTTTGTGCCTAGAATTGCCTTGGTTATTCCAAGCTCTTTTTTGCTTCATAGGAACTTTAGGATTGTTTTTTGCTTTCTGTGAAAAATAATATTGTTATTGTGATAGGAATTGCATTACATCTATAGATTGCATGAGGCAAAATGTTCATTCAAAAATATCGATTTTTTCAATCCATGAGCATAGGATGTTTTTCCATTTGTTCGTGTCATCTACAATTTCTGTCATCAGTGTTTCTGTTTTCTTGTACAGATCTTACACCAGTTTGATTAATTACATTCTTAGGTATTAAATTTTTGATAGCTATTGTAAATAAGATTGTCTTCTTGATTTTATTCTCAGCTGGATGATTATTGGTGTATAAAAATGTGACTAATTTTTGTACATGATTTTGTAACCTGAAACATTGTTGAAGTCTTTTATTATTATTATTATTATTATTATTATTAGATCTAGGAGCCTTTGGGCAGAGTCTATGGAGTTTTCTTGTTTCCATTTCATTCAGGTTAGTTCTGATTGTGTTTAATTTATTTTTTCTGCTAGCTTTGGGGTTAGTTTGCTTTTGCTTTTCAAGTTTGGCTAGGTGTGATATTAGCTTGTTTATTTGAGCTCTTTCTAATTTTTTAATGTAAGTGTTTAGCATTATTATCTTTTCTCTTAACACTGCTTTAGCTGTGTCTGAGAGATTCTGATACGTGGTGTCTTTGTTTTCATTAGTTTCAAAGAATTTCTTGATTTCTGCCTTAATTTTATTATTTACCCAAAATTCAGGAGCAAATTGTTTAACTCCCATATAATTGTATGGTTTTCAGAGATTTTCTTAGTCTGATTTCTGTTTCTATTGCACTGTGGCCCCGTGGTGTTGGTATGATTTTTTTTTAATTTTTAATTTGTTGAGAATTGCTTTATGGCAAGTATAAGATAAATTTTAGAGTATGTGCCATTTACAAATGAGAAGAACGTGTATTCTGTTTTTGTTATGTGGATTGTTCTGTAGTTGTCTCTTAGATCCATTTGGTCTAGTAACTAGTTTAGGTCCCAAATAGCTTTGTTAGTATTCTTCCCTGATGATCTGCCCAATACATTTGCTGGGGAGTTGAAGTCTCTCACTATTACTGAGTGGTAATGAAAGTCTCTTTGCCAATCTCTAAGATTTTGTTTTATCAATCTATGTGCTCCAATGTTGGGTGCATATATATTTAGGATAGTTAAGTCTTCTTGTTGAACTGAATTTTTTATCATTATATAGTGTCCTGCTTTGTCTTTTTTGATTGCTGTTGGTTTAAAGTTGATTTTGTCTAAAATAAAAATAGCAAGCCCTGCTTTTTAAAAATTTCCTATTGCTTGATATATCTTTCTCCATCCTTTTACTTTGAGCCTATGGGTGTCCTTCCATGTGAGATGGATCTCTTGAAGACAGCCTAGAGTTGGGTCTTGCTTCTTTATCCAACTTGCCACTCTGTACCTTTTAGGTAGGATGTTTAACCTATTTATACTTAAGTCTAATATTGACATGTGCAGATTTGATTGTCATCATGATGTTAGCTGTTTTTACATGTAGACTTGATTGGGGATTTGTTTTATAATATCGATGGTCTATATACCTGACTGTGCTTTTGTGATGGCTGGAAATGACCTTTCATTTCCGTGCTGCATGCTACCTTAAGGACCTCTTGTTATACAGGCCTGTTGGTAAGGAATTTGATTAGAATTTGCTTGTCTGAAAAGAATTGTATTTCTCCTTTACTCAAATTCTTGGTTGGAGTTTTCTTTTCCTTAAGGATGCTGAATATAGGCCCCCAATCTCTTCTGTCTTGTAAGGTTTCTGTTGAAAGATCTGCTGTTGGCCTGATGAGGTTCCCTTTGTAAGTAATCTGCCCCTTCTTTCTATTTGCCTTTCATATTTTTTCTTTTGTTCTGACCTTGAAGAATCTCATAACTGTGTGTCTTGGGGATGGTCTTTTCATTTAGTATCTTGTGGGGGTCCTTTGAACTTCCTGAATTTGCATGTCAATCTCTCTCGGGGGTGGGGGTGCAGTTTTTGTGGGCAGTATCCTCAAATAGAATTTCCAGGCTACTTGTTCTCTCTCCCTCTCTTTCAAGAATGCAAATGATTTGTAGATTTGTTATCTGTACATAATCTCATATTTCTCAGGAGTTTTGTTCATTTTTAAATTATTTTTTCTAATTTTTTTTTCTGACTGAGTTAATTTGAAGAACCAGCATTCAAACTCAGAAATTCTTTCCTCAGCTTGGTCTACTATGCTGCTAAAACTTTAAATTTTGTTATGAAATATTTGTAGTGAGTTTTTCAGTTCAATCAGCTCAGTTCAGCTCCTCATTAAAATGGCTATTTTATCTTTCTTCTCTTGAAACATTTTACTGGTGCTTTGGTGTGGGTCTGTTTTCCCACCCAAATGTCATGTTGAATTGTTTTGCCTTGAAGGCATTTCAGAGACCTTCATGGCAGACCCTCCCATCACAGGCCAAGAGGCCTAGGAGTAAAGAATGGTTTCATGGGCCAGGCCGGTGGTGTCACTGCCCTGTGCAGCATCAGGACACTACTGCCTGCATCCCAGTCACTCCAGCTCCAGCCATGGCTAAAGGGACCTACATACAGCACAGGCCACTGCTTTAGAGGGTGCAAGCCATAAACCTTTGTGGTTTCCATGTGGTGGTAAGCCTGTGGGTGCACAGAATGCAAGAGTTGAGGCTTGGGATCCTTTGCCTATATTTTGGAGGATGTATGGAAAATCCAGAATGTTCAGGCAGAAGCCAGCTGCAGGGATGGAGCCATCATGGAGAACCCACAGTAGAACAGTGAGGAGGGGAAGTGTGAGGTTGGAGCCTCTACACAGAGTACCCACTGGGGCACTGCCTAGTGGAGCTGTAAGAAAAGGGCCACCATTCTCCAGACCCTGGAATGGTAGAGTCACTGACAGGTTGCACTATGTCTCTGGAAAAATTACAAGTGTTCAACAGCAGCCCATGACAGCAGCTATGGGGACTGAACCCTGCAAAGCCACAGGGGCAGAGCTGCCCAAGGCCTTGGGAGCCCACCCCTCACACCAATGAATTCTGGATGTGGAGCATGAATTCAAAGGAGATTATCCTGGAGCTTTACAGTTTAGTGACTTCCCTGCTGGGTTTCAGACTTGCACGGGGCCTTTAGCCCCACCCCCTTTTTTTTTTGGCTGATTTTTCCCTTTTAGAATGGGAATATTTACCTACTACCTTACCCCCATTATATCTTGGAAGTAACTAATTTTTTATTTTACAGGCTCAGGACAGAAGGAACTAGTCTCATCTCAGATGAGACTTTGGACTTTGGAATTTTTGAGTTAAGGCTGGAATGAGTTAAGACTTTGGGGGACTGTTGTGAGAAGGACATGAGATTTGAGAGGGGCCAACGGAGGAAATAATACGGTTTGGGCCTGTGTCCTTGCCAAAATCTCATGTCAAATTTTAATCCCCAATATTGGAGGCAGGGTCTGGTTGGAGGCGATTGGATCATGGGAGCAGAATTCCCCCCTTGGTGCTGTTCTTGTGATAGAGAGTGAATTCTTATGAGATATGGTCATTTGAAAGTGTCTGGCAACTCCCCTGCTCTCTCACTTCCTCCTGCTCTGGCCATGTGAAGTGCCGGCTTCCCCTTCACCTTCTGCCATGATTGTAAATTTCCTGAAGCCTCCCAAGAAGCTGAGCAGTTGTTGCCATGCTTCCTGCACAGCCTGCAGAATCATGAGCCAATTAAACCTATTTTCTTTATAAATTACCCCAGCCTAAGTTATTTTTTACAGCAATGTGAGAACTGACTAATACAACTGGATTCCATAGAATCCTTGGAATTTGTTTCAACATTCTTCTGAATCTCAAGGATCTTAATTGCTATCCAGACTCCAGATTCTATGTCTTTTACTTCAGCTATTTCCTTCTGATTAATAACCATTGCTGGAGAGCTGTTGTGGTGTTTGGAGGTAAGAAGACACTCTGGCTTTTAGAGTTGCCAGAATTCTTGCACTGGTTCTTTCTCATCTCTGTGGACCAATGTTCCCTTTACCTTGGTGTAATTTGAGCACAGTCAGTTGGCTTCACTTCTACATGTTTTCAGAGGGCCAAGGCTTTGTGCAGCATCTTTATTTTTGGCTGAATTTGTGTCCCTGGTCTCACAGGGGGATATAGTAATCTAAGTATTTTTTGTTGTTGAAGTTTGGGCTGTGATGCAGTAGATGGCGGTAAAGCAAAATGCCCTTTAGGTAGGCTTTTGCTCAGCCATGTAGCTCTTCTGTATTTCCTCCTGTTTGTAGCCATGCTTCTCCTCAGGGCTCTGAGAGTGTGAACTCCTCTCTTACTTGAGTGCTGGCTACAGATCTTAGCTTGTCACTCTTGGGCTGTGCACCACAGCCATGGGGCAAGCTCAGGCTTTTTTCCCTCTCAAGCTTGGGGGAAGCAGGGACTAGGACTTTGGTAGTGGTAATGGGAGAAGGCCTTTTCCTTGTCTCTTGGAGCTCCACCCTAGAGCAATGAAGAGCATCTGCCAGTGGGAACAATCAGCCCAGGGCATGGTGGCTGCATTTCAGGCCCAAGCCAGGGGTCCCTGCCTGGTGAAGAGCAGGGGGTTGGGGACTCACTGAGAAGAGAGACTCATCTCAATTCCCTGTGGTGACTAGCATGCTGGAGGTATGAGTAAAGCACTCAGGCTGCTTGTTTCTTCCCCCGTTAGAGGGCAGTAAGGGCATTACTGCTGCATTGGCAGTGGCAGAAGGGAGGGGGATTGTCTCTAATATTTACTCCTCAGACAAATGCAGAACACGCACCAACTGATATGCTGTGCCTTGGCAGGGGCAGGGCAGCTGCGCTAGGGGGCCAGGTTGAGAGACCCTGGCCACTGAGGAGTTACAGGATCAGGGGTTCACGTGCAACACAGCCTGGCCACTTTTCTGGAGGGCAGCTGTGTTGTGCTGGAGGCCTGCAATAGTCCTTCATCTCTCTGCTCCCTATGGAACCTGAAGGCAGTTGGGTTGGGGGCTGCAGCAGCAGCAAAAATGTCAGACCTGTGTTTTACTTCTGGGAGTTCTGTCCCACGGAAATGCAGAACTGCCACAGGCCTAAGAGCTCAGGCAGCTTGGGGTGGCTGTGCTAAAGTCCTAGGCCAATTGTCTTTGTCTAATGAGGTGTAGCAGAGGCCAAGCCTGCAGACCATTTTCTCCTCAGCACCATGGATGGGCCCCTTTCCTGGGGAGTGTGAAAAAGCCTGGCCTCCATTGTTGGTAGAGCTACAGTCACTGGTGTCAAGGTGCTCAGGGGTCCAAGGCACCTGGGACTCTGTGTGTCTTAGTGGAGGCTCTGCTCGTACTCCATGTAGCATTCTCTGTCACTCTGGAGGTCCCAGGGAGGGAAGAGGATCAGGGGAGATTTCCTATGCCCAGGTTTGCAAAGGCCTGTGGCAGAAGTGTGTCTGTGAGAAGAGCCAGGCGCTCTTGCTCACTCACCATTTCCCTATGGTAGGGAGCCTCCCTTTGTTCCATGCCAATCCCAGGTGGGTGGCTGTCCTATCTCACTTCTCTGTTCTCCGTGGGTCCTATTGCTTCCTTAATGAATCACAAAGTGCTCTTCTGGACAATTCAGTTCAAAAAATAGTGTTTACTCACCACACTCTCTCCTCTCTCTGGGAGTGGCACACACTAGCTGCTTCTAGTCAGCCATCTTCTGGCCTATATCACTTGAAGGCATGTTTCTTCTATGCTTAAGTTGTTGAGGGTGTTTAGCATGAAGACACACAGGATTTCATCAAATGCTTTTTTTACATCTATTGGGATGCTCATATGAGTTTTGTACTTAATTTTGTTTATATAATGTTCATATTTATTGATTTGCATATGTTGAATTATCTTTGCATTTCTGGTATAAAACCCATTTGATTGTCGTGTATTATCTTTATGATACACTGTTGAATTTGATTGGATAGTATTTTGGTGAGGGTTTTGCATCTATGTTAATCAGGAATATTGGTCTGCAGTTTTCTTCTTTCATTGTGTGCTTGTCTGATTTTAGTATAAAAGAGATATTGGCCTTGTAGAATAAGTTAGGGATAATTCTCTCTTTGCTGTTTTTTTTTTTTTTTTGTGACAATTTCAGGAGGATTTCTATTAGTTCTTCTTTGCATATTGGTAGAATAATTCAGCTGCTAATCCATCTCTTCCTGGGCTTTTCTTTGTATGGAGATTTTTAAAAACTGATACAGTCTCACCACTCATTATTATTGGTCTATTCAGGTTTTCTATTTCTTTTTGATAAATCTTAAAAAGTGGTATGTTTGGGGAATTTTTCTGTTTCCTCTAGGTTTTCCAGTTTGTGAGCATAGAGTTGGTAATAGTCTCTGATGATCTTTGTATTTATGTGGTATCAGTTGTAATGTCTTTTGTTATATTTGATTTTGTTTATTTAGATCTTTATTCTTATTTTCTTGGTTAGACTAGCTAGGAGTTTATCAATTGTTTTCATCTTTTTGATGAACCAACTGTTTATTTCTTTAATCCTTTGTAATTTTTTCTTTATATCTTTATATCTTTTATGTTTCTGATTTATTTTCTTTAGCAAATTTTGGGTTTGGTTTATTCTTGCTTTTCTAGTTCATTGAGTTGTGATGTTTCATTGTTTATTTTTAATCTTTCTACTTCTTATGTAAGCATTTAAGGCTGTAAACTTCACTCTTTGCACTACTTTTGTTGTATCTCAGCAGGTTTGGTAAGCTATATTTCCATTTTTATTTATTTCAATAAATTTTTACATTTCCATCTTATTTGTTGGCCCAATGGTCATTCATAAATGTGTTTGATAATTTCCATGTATTTATATAATTTCCAAAGATTTCTTTGGTGTTGTTTTCTACTTGTATGCCACTGTGGTCTGAGTAAATACTTGATATGATTTCTATTTTGCTTTTAATTTGTTGAGACCTGTTTTGTGGCCTAATATTTAGTCTATCTAAGAGAATATTCCATGTGCTGATGAGAACTATCTATATTATGTGGTTGTTGGGTAGAATATTCTATAAATGCATATTAGGTCTATTTGGTCTAATGTGCAATTTAAATCCAGTGGTTTTTTTTTTGTTGTTGATTTTATGTCTTGATGATCTGTCTAGGATTTGAGTGGGATGTTGAAATCCTCACTATTATTTTATTGCTGTCCATCTCCTTCTTTAGGTCTAGTAACATTTGTTTTATGAATCTGGTACATATACAAATGGGTACATATATTTGAATTATTATATTCTCTTGCTGAATTGATAGCTTTATCATTATATAATGACTTTTTTAAAAACTGGTTTCAATTTAAAGCCTGTTTTATCTAATATTAACACAGTTATGCTTAATTTTGTGTTTTGTTTGTGTGGAATATCTTTTTCCACACCTTTACTTTCAGTCTTTCTGTGTCTTTACAGGTAAGGTGAATTTATTGTTAGCAGTATATAGTTACATTATGATTTTTTAATCAGTTATGTCAATCTATATCTTTTAAGTGGAACACTTAATCAATTTACGTTCATGGTTAAAACTGATACGTAAAGTTTTGTTCCTGTTATATTCTTAATTGTTTTTTATTTTTTTTCTATGTCTACTTATCTTTGATTCAGTGGAACTCTGTAGTATTATTATTTGATTTCTTTCTTTCTCTCCTTTCTTTCTTTTCTTTCTTTCTCTCTCTCTCTCTCTCTTTCTCTCTCTTTCTTTCTTTCTTTCTTTCTTTCTTTCTTTTTCTCTCTTTTTTTTTTTTACTGAGTCTCACTCTGTCGCCGAGGCTAGAGTGCGGTGGCACGATCTCGGCTCACTGCAACATCTACCTCCTGGGTTCAAGTGGTTCTTCTGCCTCAGCCTCCCAAGTAGCTGGGACTACAAGTGCCCACCACCACCTCCGACCTCAAGTGATCTGCCCACCTCAGCCTCCCAAAGTGCTGGGATTACAGGCATGAGCCACTGCACCTGGCCCCTTATTATTTGATTTATTTCTCTTTTTTTGTGTGCGATTGCTTTACCTGTGAGTTTTATACATTCATATGTTGTTAGAGTGGTGAATGTTATTCTTTCATTTCTAGTTAGGACTCTTTTGATTATTTCTTGTAGGACTAGTCTGGTGGTGATGAATTCCCTCAACATTTGTGTGGCTGGAAAAGATTTTATTTCTCCTTCATTTATAAACCTTTATTTTGCTCGGTATAGAGTTCTGGGCTAGAAGTTTTATTTCTTTCAGCAATTCTGACCTGCTTTCCCATTCTCTTCCATCCTGTATGATTTCTGCTGAGATGTCTGCTTGTTAGTTTGATGGGCTTTCTTTATAAGCGACTAGATGCTTTTCTCTTGTTAATTTTAGAATCCTTTCTTTCACTTTGGCTTTAGACTGATTACAGTTTGTGGTAAGTCCCTTTTTGCCATAAATTTCCTAGGGATTATTGGTCCTACTATATCTGGATGTCTAAATCTCTTGCTAGACTTGGGAAATTTTCATTAATTATTTTATTAAATAGGTCTTCAAAATATTTTAATTTGTATTCACCCCGGGGAATATAATTCTTAAGTTCAATTGCTTGATGTAGTCTCAAATGTGTTGAAGCCTATGCACATTCTTTTTAATTTCTTTGTTCTATATTTTTGTCTGACTGCATTATTTCAAAAGACCTTTTCTGAAGTTGTGAAATTATTTTGCTTGATCTTATCATGGTTGAGACTTTTGAAATTTTTAAAAATTAATTCAATAAAGTTTTGAGGTTTAGAATTTTTGTATGTGTGTACGTGTGTGTGTGTGTGTGTGTGTGTGTGTGTGTGAGTGTGTGTGAATTGTTGGTTTTTTTTTTTTCAGATATAAATCTCCCTGGTAAATTTCTCATTTATATCCTGAATTTATTTTTTTTATTTTTTTGTATTGGTTTTTAAATTTCTCTTGCATCTCATTGAACTTCTTTAAAACCAATGTTTTGAATTTATTATATGACATTTCAATGATTTTTTTTTTGTTAACACCTATTGCTGGAGAACTATTGTGTTTCTCTGAAGGTGTCATATTACTTTGATTTTTGCTCTGGAGTAATAGTTGCTTCTTTTTAATTTAAAATTACTTTCATGGGAGGGGATTTTTTTTTTCTTGAACATATTACTATGATATTTACTTGGTATGGCATTTGGCTCTGGTTCTTTGCAGTGATGAAAACTGTGTAAGATTTCTTTGGCTATACATAGCCTTGGTATCTGTGGATTGCTCAGCGAGTTAGGGTGCAGCCATGGGTGGGAGATGTGGGGAAGTTGTGCTGAGGACTGGAATGCCTAATAAGTTCTTCAGGTTTCGTTGGTAGTAGTGGTGGGCTCAGCATGTTTATCATTGTGACCTGGGGTAATGTATGCTGGCACCTGAGGTGGCAGTTCCAGGCAGGCTGGTTCCTGGGCTTCTGAGTGGCTTTCTCAGATGCCAGTAGTAGCAGTGGTGCGGTAAGGAGGTGGGTGGGCTTTTGGCATCCTTGGAACCTGTGGTGTGGTGGGTGATGGCAGTAGCAGTGGTCATGAGATCCTTTTGTAGTTCCTGAGTGTTTTTGTCCTAGCAGCTGTTATAATGGTAATGAAATATATGGGCTATCCTCTAGGCCAGTAGGTGGCACTTGCAGATAAAAAATAATAATAATAATACAGCTGTGGGGGTAGTGGTAGGATGTATAAATCTGACCTGTGTTCCCTGAGGGAAGTGCTTGGGTGTCCCACATGGTGGATTGATTTGTGGAACACCCATAAGCATGGATCCCACACTGTTTCAGAGAATGGGGAGAAGTTTGGCAGAGCTGAACCAGACGACCTTGAACCCAGGCCTCCTAATGGCAGGCACAGGCACCACCCTTGTCAGGACAGGACAAGGCAATCCTCAGGGTGCCCAGCTCCACCAGTGGCTAGATCCTACTCCACACTCAATTCTCAGAACTACTTGTGGTAACCCATCCTGCAGTAAAGTTCCATTTCCATAATGGCCTCCTACGCATCCCTAACAGCCAGGACCAATGCTGCTACTCTCAAGGACCATGCACAGTTGGCTCAGAGCTAGGCTCAAGAATGGCATCCCAGGTCTGTAAAAGTGCATGAGACACTCCTGAAGCAATTCCTTCTCACAGTCTTCTGGCTGCTTCTCAAGTTAGATTCAGGGATTGGGAGGGTCAGGTTCTCCCCTTGTTCCTCAACTTGCACAATTCCCCAGCAGGAAAGTGAACCACAAAAGCACACTCACTTACCCTTTCCCATGTTGAGGATTCGCACCCAACTCCTGGCTGATGCTGGCCACTCAGGCTGCCCATTTTCTTTTTTCCTCCCAGATTTGAAGACTTCCATTCAACTTTCTGTTGAACTCCTGTGTTCCTTCCTGAATAATGTGTTCAAAGTGTGATTGTCTACATACTATTTTGGTTCTGCCAAACGGAGGAGGAATGCTTGAAATGCTTCTAGTCAGCTATCTTGGAGACAAAAAAAAAAAAAAAAAAAAAAAACCAAAGCAGTTCTGGTAGATGATGATGACATTTTGATTAGTTAAAATGGTAAAACCATCTATATACTCATGATAACATTCATGGTTAAAAGAATGACATAATACCCAAGTATAAATATTTAATCACTATGATGAAACAACAATATATGCTAGCTTCTTTTTTGTTGCACATTTTACGTATTAAATATATGTGCTATATTTTTAGAATAAGGACAGGATTGAATATTTTAAAAGAATGTAAATTGAATAGGAGTGGTGAGAGAGGGCATCCCTGTCTTGTGCCAGTTTCCAAAGGGAATGCTTCCAGTTGTTGCCCCTTCAGTATGATATTGGCTGTGGGTTTGTCAGAGATAGCTCTTATTATTTTGAGATACGTCCCATCAATACCTAATTTATTGAGAGTTTTTAGCATGAAGGGTTGTTGAATTTTGTCAAAGGCCTTTTCTGCATCTATTGAGATAATCATGTGGTTTTTGTCTTTGGTTCTATTATATGCTGGATTACATTTATTGATTTGTGTATATTGAACCAGCCTTGCATCCCAGGGATGAAGCCCACTTGATCATGGTGGATAAGCTTTTTGATGTGCTGCTGGATTCGGTTTGCCAGTATTTTATTGAGGATTTTTGCATCAATGTTCATCAAGGATATTGGTCTAAAATTCTCTTTTTTGGTTGTGTCTCTGCCCGGTTTTGGTATCAGGATGATGCTGGCCTCATAAAATGAGTTAGGGAGGATTCCCTCTTTTTCTATTGATTGGAATATTTTCAGAAGGAATGGTACCAGCTCCTCCTTGTACCTCTGGTAGAATTCGGCTGTGAATCCATCTGGTCCTGGACTCTTTTTTGTTGGTAAGCTGTTGATTATTGCCACAATTTCAGATCCTGTTATTGTTCTATTCAGAGATTCAACTTCTTCCTGGTTTAGTCTTGGGAGAGTGTATGTGTCGAGGAATTTATCCATTTCTTCTAGATTTTCTAGTTTATTTGCATAGAGGTGTTTGTAGTATTCTCTGATGGTAGTTTGTATTTCTGTGGGATCGGTGGTGATATCCCCTTTATCATTTGTTATTGCGTCTATTTGATTCTTCTCTCTTTTTTTCTTTATTAGTCTTGCTAGCGGTCTATCAATGTTGTTGATCCTTTCAAAAAACCCGCTCCTGGATTCATTAATTTTTTGAAGGGTTTTTTGTGTCTCTATTTCCTTCAGTTCTGCTCTGATTTTAGTTATTTCTTGCCTTCTGTTAGCTTTTGAATGTGTTTGCTCTTGCTTTTCTAGTTCTTTTAATTGTGATGTTAGGGTGTCAATTTTGGATCTTTCCTGCTTTCTCTTGTGGGCATTTAGTGCTATAAATTTCCCTCTACACACTGCTTTGAATGTGTCCCGGAGATTCTGGTATGTGGTGTCTTTGTTCTCGTTGGTTTCAAAGAACATCTTTATTTCTGCCTTCATTTCGTTATGTACCCAGTAGTCATTCAGGAGCATGTTGTTCAGTTTCCATGTAGTTGAGCGGTTTTGAGTGAGTTTCTTAATCCTGAGTTCTAGTTTGATTGCACTGTGGTCTGAGAGACAGTTTGTTATGATTTCTGTTCTTTTACATTTGCTGAGGAGAGCTTTACTTCCAACTATGTGGTCAATTTTGGAATAGGTGTGGTGTGGTGCTGAAAAGAATGTATATTCTGTTGATTTGGGGTGGAGAGTTCTGTAGATGTCTATTAGGTCCGCTTGGTGCAGAGCTGAGTTCAATTCCTGGGTATCCTTGTTAAGGTTCTGTCTCGTTGATCTGTCTAATGTTGACAGTGGGGTGTTAAAGTCTCCCATTATTAATGTGTGGGAGTCTAAGTCTCTTTGTAGGTCACTCAGGACTTGCTTTATGAATCTGGGTGCTCCCGTATTGGGTGCATATATATTTAGGATAGTTAGCTCTTCTTGTTGAATTGATCCCTTTTCCATTATGTAATGGCCTTCTTTGTCTCTTTTGATCTTTGTTGGTTTAAAGTCTGTTTTATCAGAGACTAGGATTGCAACCCCTGCCTTTTTTTGTTTTCCATTTGCTTGATTTAGAACATTTTAAAACACAACATTCACTTATCTGAATAACTCAGTTTGATGTTGATAGAAATAATCATATAGAATATCTAGTAATGGTTATAAATTTAAAATTGTAAGTGCCTGTTCTGTAGAGAAATATGACTTCAAGTCCTGTAATGGCTTATACTTGTGTTCATTTACTTTCTGAATGCTCATGCTAGATGGTCCACTCGATAAATACTAAGTCACCTGATTTGAACTTGTTTCTAACATGACTGTTGTGAATTATAGCTTCATAACAAATCAGACATTACTTTGAGGTTAATGAAATCATTAAGTAATTCCTATTCTTGATTTTAGCATTTTCTCAGAGTCCCTAATCTAGGGATGCACAAAGTATTTTTGAGATTCACTATGTCAAGAAAAGGGCACCCATGATTAATTAATACCTGCCATAACTTAATGTATTAATGGAGACCACCAAGGGTGAGAAAGATCATTTTATACGAAATTATAAATTGGACAATTATGACCTCATCTGGAGGTCATTCTTGGCCTTCCAGAATATATGAACAGAAATTGGAGGATGGTCCCTGAGACTTCATTATTTTTGCTTTTATGATTAAAAGAGAATGAAAATTTGGCTTTTGAATGTCATCATTTACTTATTTTTAACATTTCTTTAAAATGAGTGTCCTTTTGTAGTTCCTGATGACATGTTTGTCATACATTACATTTTATTAATACTTAATAAAATTATCTTAAGTTATTAACAGGTAATAACTTAAAATGGCATGTTTTGGACTTTTACTGAAGTCATATGACCATTGCCAAATTAGACAAGAATTGTATTTTTTTACACGTTTATTTTCTTGTTAACAATATTTTAGTAATAGGATAAGCCTCTATTGACTTGTACCAATTAGACTTAAATTTTACAATTGTTTATACAAATAAATTTGACTGTTTTAGTACAAAAATATTCATATTAGTATACAGAGAGAAATAAAACTTTTATCACATAATGTAACAAAATGCTATTTAATGTATAATGTAGCATAACATAATGTAAACTGTAATATGATATACTATACTATAGCATAATATGATAAAATATAATATAATATGTACTATTGGGTTTGTAACAAACATGTCTTCCGAGTTTTGCGAAAGTTACAATTCCATGATAGGTACAAAAGTGTTCCAAACTACTGCTTCCACAAAAACAAACAAACAAACAAAATACCCATCAATTTTGAATATGTCTTTCCCTATACAATATGTTATGTCAATTATTTGTGGTTTTGTTTATTTGTGTGTGTGTGTGATATGTTTACTAATTTGCACATTTTAGTCATTCTTTTTGAATTGACCCTTTTATTGTTGTATAATGATCTTCTTTGTCTCTTTTTGCAGTTTTTGATTTAAACATATTTTATCTAATACAGGTATTCTCATCTCTTTTGATTTCTATTTGAACAGAATACGTTTTTCCATTTCTTCACTTTCAGTCTATGTGTGTCTTTACATCTGAAGTGAGTCTCTTATAGACAGCACACAGTTGGGTTATGTTTACTTTTCATCCATTCTTTAGCTAAATGTCTTTTTGTTGGAGAATTAGATCCTTTTATTTTAAAAGTGATTATTGCTATATATTGACTTTATACTGCTGATTTGCTATTTTTTTCTACTTGTTTTGTAGATCCTTTTTCCCTTTCTTCCTTTTTTGCTATTATCTTCCTTTACTGTTAAGTAATTTTCTCCAGTGGTATATTTTTATTTTTTGAATTTCATTTTTTTGTGTGTATCTACTATAAGTCTTTGCTGTAGTTACCATGAAGCTTTAAAAATTACACATTAAACAGCTTATTTAAGCGAATAATAACTTAAGTTTGATCACATAAAATACCTTTATACTTTTACTCCACTTCCATAATATTTTACATTTTTGTGTGATGATTTACATCTTTTTATATTTCATATTGCTTAAAACATTATTATAGCAATTCTATTTTTAATAGTTTTATCTTTTAACCTTTATATTACAGATATAAGTGAATTACACATCAGCATTACAGTAGTAGAGTATTCTGAATTTAACTATGTGCTTACTTTTTTCAGTGAGTTTTATACTTTCAGATGTTTTTATGTTACTCATTAGTATCTTTTTTTCTTTGAACTTGAAGACTTCCTTTATCCTTTCTCATAAGATGGGTCTCATGTGCACAACAGGCAAGCTTGTTACATAGGTATACATGTGCCATGTTGGTTTGATGTACTCATCAACTCATCATTTACTTCAGGTATTTATCCCAATGCTATCCCTCCTCCAGTCCCCCACCCCCGGTGCGTGATGTTCCCCTCCCTGTCTCCATGATTTCTCATTGTTCAACTCCCACTTATAAGTGAGACATGCGATGATTGGTTTTTTTCTTCTTGTGTTACTTTGCTGAGAATGATGGTTTCCAGTTTCATCCATGTCCCTGCAAAGGATATGAACTGATCGTTTTTTATGGCTGCATAGTATTCCATGGTGTATATATGCCACATTTTCTTTATACAGTCTATTATTGATAGAACTTAAAGTTTAATTATATATATGTATAAAAGATGGTTCTCATGAAGCTTACTGCCTCAGCTTTTATTTATCTGGAAAGTTCTTTCATTTCTTTTTTTTTTTTTTGAGATGGAGTTTCTCTGTCGCCCAGGCTGAAGTGCAGTGGCACGATCTCGGCTCACTGCAAGCTCCGCCTTCTGGGTTCATGCCATTCTCCTGCCTCAGCCTCCCAGGTAGCTGCTGGGACTACAGGCGCCCGCCACCACAGCTGGCTAATTTTTTTGTATTTTTAGTAGAGACGGGGTTTCACCATGTTAGCCAGGATGGACTCGATTTCCTGACCTCGTGATCCACCCGCCTCGGCCTCCCAAAGTGCTGGGATTACAGGCATGAGCCACCGTGCCTGGCCGGGGATCACCTTTTGAAGTCCAGGGAAAAGTCCTGTGCTCACTTTCCTCTCTTTCCCCGAAGCAAAGGGTATCTCTTTCCATGGTGTACTGCCTGGGGCTGAGGGGAGGGTTGATACGGTTAGTGTAAAACAGTCTTTCCTACTCTCTTCAATGCCTTTTCAATGTGTCTTTTCTTATGACTGTGGTGCAGTCAGGTATTGTGATCTCTCAGCTGGTTTCCTTAGCTCTTGTGAAGTTACTTTTGAGTGTAGATAGTTGTTCATGTTGACATTTCGGCAGCAGGAAGACCTCTGAAGAATCTTATTTTCCCACCATCCTCTAGTTCTGTTGTTTATTTTTGAATCACATAACGATTTTAATTTGTTGCTTTCTTTTCAGAGATTGGGCACATGCATGTATTCAGATAGAAAACTTCCACAATGATTCAAAAAAAATGTTTTTTAAAAAAATACTTATTCTATGTGGGTATTACTTTTATTTTTATATTAAAAAATCCCTCTATAATAGTGTTATGATTATTGCAAGGTGATGGAAACGCTGTACTTTATACATTACATAGCTTACTCTGTCCCACAAATCTGATTGGTTTTTACACTGCAAACAAAATTATCTTTTTAAAATGTAAATCTAGTAATATCACTGAATTTGTAAAATGTATTTTACATCTTATTATTCATAGACTAAAAACACAAACATTTAACTTGGCCTACAAAATCCAGTACTTTCTATTCCTTGAAAATCTTTTCACTTTATCTCATACTTTTTGTTCCCAGCTGTCTATGCTCCAACTTCACCGGACAGGTGTGGGTTTCTCAAACATTCAATGCTCTTTCCTGTGATATTGGCTTTCCTGTCTATTGTTCTCTTGCTAGAAATGTCCTCTGAAGAGCTCTATTTCTTTCTCAAACATTAAACTTTGTCTGTTTAACTTCTAACAGTTCTTCATTTTTACAGCTTAAAAGGTATGCTTTTGCAGAAAACCTTCATTAGCTTCCAAATTAGTGAGGTGCACTTCATGTGTTATGAATAATATTTTGGACTTTTATCACAATTATTTCAATTTTCTAATTTTGAATTTACTTGGGTGAGTATTTGTGTTCTGCCCCTAGACTGTGAACTGTCAAAGGGTAGAATCTATCAACTTTTCTTACCTTCTTATACATGACCAATGCCTGCTCATAAGAGGTACTCAATAAATATATGTTAAATGAATGAATAGGTAGTTGATACCTTAGAAAATGCTTAAGCCTAGATTAAGATACCAACAACACTCTTGAGAATACAATATTTGAATATCTATACTATCTATAAAGGTGATGTGCTCCCGAAGAAATTCCCACTAAAAGGCCGGGCGCGGTGGTTCACGCCTGTGATCCCAGCACTTCGAAAGGCCGAGGTGGGCAGATTACCTGAGGTCAGGAATTCGAGACCAGCCTGACCAACATGGCAAAACCCCATCTGTGCTAAAAATACAAAAATTAGCCCGGCATGGTGGTGGGTGCCTGTAGTCCCAGCTACTCGGGAGGCTGAGGCAGGAGAATGGCGTGAACCCGGGAGGCGGAGCTTGCAGTGAGCCCAGATTGCGCCACTGCACTCCAGCCCGGGTTACAGAGCGAGACTCAAAACAAAAAAAAAAAAAGAAAAAAAAGAAGAAAAAAATTCCCGCTAAATTTAAACTGATTTTGAGATCAAAATCTCATTGTCTAAAGTAAAATAATTTCACAAATTGCAAGTAGATATGTTAGATTGTACCTAACCTTGCCTAGCCCGATTATACTGAAATTATTACTTGCTGTTCTTTTTTGTTGTATTGTTGTTGTTGTTGTAGTTGTTGTTGTAGGGATTATTTACTTATATAGTCACATTGGGTGACACAGATTTGAAAGTACTAAAGTCATATAATCTTTTAACATGACATTCAAACAACCTCTAGAAATATGAAGCCACTAAAATTTCTGTTCTTGACCTTCTGATTTACATATGAAGAAAATTGGTGTTGGAATAGTTTTTATTTATTTTCAATGAAAGTAACTGAGTTGAAGGTAGGTATATCAGGATCACATGTGTGAGGGAGTATTTTCCAACTACATATTTTCAAGCATCACCATCCTGAGAACATTTTAAGATGCCAAGCATCTCTGAAGTGACATGCCCCAACTCATCTCTAAACCTTTAAGAGGATCAATGTGAAGGTATATTATTTGCTGCTGCTGGATGTATGTGAAAGTTGTTAAATATTTTATGGTTGCAAATGCACTGAAAGTCACTGACTTAAATAGGAGAACAGTAGCATAAGAAAGGCAAAGTATTATTAGAAACCCCAACACTCTTTCTCCTATATATATAATATACACTCTTTCTCTTCTCATTTTTCTATCACTGTCATTTAATGAATATTTTAGGTTATTAGTAATGAGGATTTATCCCTAACTCCAAGGCCCTCATGATAACTAAAATTCATTTCTTTTCAATTCTAAGTTAATATCATCTCTTTTACTATCTCTTATTTTAGACAGAAATGATTACTGTATTCAATAGAAGGATAAATAAGACTAAAACTCAAGAACAAAGGAAGAATTGTCTGTAGCTTTTAAGTCTTAGACAAATCCACATTGATGTATTACCTGCTCAGAATTTGTGTTTGCCATTTCAACTGAAGAGCTTTAAACCAAAGATGCAAGTAATAGATGGGTAAAATCCTTACATATTTATAGTGTGCTGATTGGAACTAATTACAGAAGCACATAAATGTGGAATTTCTTTTCAAGAGAGCTGGAATCAAATTTATGGTGCCATTTCCATTCAGTTAGCTCTACAAAGAATCTTCCTTCATTTTTAACTTCGAAAAAAATCATTTTTTCTCAACCAGTTGCTAAATGGCAGTTTGAATCCAAATTCAACTTTGATGTTTAGTTGATATGAGAAAATGAAAAGTATATTAATTTTCTAACCTGTAAGACTCACAGAAAAATTAATGTTTACCTCAGAACCTTGACATTTACACAATAAGAAGTTTCAATGTCTTTTATTTTATGGAGAGTCTAATACATATTAGATTTCTTCACAAATATGCTAGCTCTTTTTTCTTTTTAGTCACTTTGTATGTTGCATTTTCCCATCTTTTTGAAGTTGTTTCTTCTTGTGATTATTTCCAGTGAAATGGGACCAGAAATGATTTGTCTCATTTACAAGCAATTTAAATTTCCAGGTGATTTAAATCTATTTAAAATTCAGGGAATGCTTTGTGACATTGTTTGTTTATTTGTTTCCCTCTAGAGAGAACATTTCTGATAGTGGCTACTTTATTAGGAGGATAGTGACACAGTTCAGGGACTCTAAATGACTATTTTTAAAAATGTAACTTGGGTGAGAAATTAAGAAACGAAAGAAAAATATACAACCATTGTAGCTTTAAGCCACTGAGTGTTAGTGGTTGTTTGTTATTGCCACATAAGCTAATCTTGCCTGATTGATTCATATCCCTTACAACATTGCTCAAACTATGATAAAATATGGCTAAAACCACAAAACTTTGCTAAATAATCCCCATGAGCATGATTACATGAAACAGCCATTTGTTGACCATTCCAGAGGGTGATTTTTTAGACAAGGTGTATAATTTTCTTAGTTCTTGTTACTGAATTTGAAATTCGTGTTTTACAGAAACCTTTCAAATATAATTTTTAACAATACTTTTGCTGTATATTGCATTTTAAAGATAACACATCAATAATATATTGCAATTCTGTATATAGGTAATTAAGAACTTCATAATACAACTTTCAAAATACCATATATTTATTTGGTCTGAGTTGATAAAACTTCTGTGATCAATTAAAAGTGTTAACTTTACCTTTTCATTTCTCTTCTTCATTTTGTAGTCTAACCACTGTAGTTTCCACCTAATTCTCTTATGTATTCTATTGTAGGATAATGAAAAACAAATCCCCTTAACTGGCTTCTGCTTTTCCTTCATGATAGACCCATTTAATATATTCATAGCTCTGGTTATTTCCATTTCTCCTCCCTCTCTGGCTTGTGGAGCTCTTTACTGTGTATACACCACAATAAATAAAATATAAATAAGCAGCTTCAACTGAGTGCTCAACAACAACAAAGGGACATTTTGTTGTATTTCTTTTTCTACTTTCTAAAATAACTCGATTATATCTTCTCTATTCTCCTCAAATCCGACATTTTTTTACCCTCCTTTTGTTTCTAGTCTTACATGTCATGGAGATAATAAATATTTATAAATGAGTTTCCATAATTTCTAGACCAGAACTTGATTATACCTTCTCTATTCTCCTAAAATCCCATATTCCTTGTTTGTTTGTTTCTTTGTTTGTTTGAGACGAAGTCTGGCTGTTGTCGCCCAGAATCAGAATGGGGTGCAATGGTGCGATATCTGCTCATTGCCACCTCCACCTCCCAGGTTCCAGCAATTCTCCTGCCTCATGAGATTACAGGTGCCCACCAGCATGCCTGACTAATTTTTGTATTTTTAGTAGAGACAGGGTTTCACCATGTTGGCCAGGGTAGTCTCAAACTCCTGACATCAGGTGATCCACCCTCCTCGACCTCCCAAAGTCCTGGGATTACAGGTGTGAGCTATCATCCCTGGCCTTAAATCCTGTATTCTTTTACCCTCCTTTTTTTTTTCTAGTCTTACATGTCTTGGAGATAATAAATATATATAAATTTTTTTCTTAACTTCTGGACCCTAAACCTATGACTCTAGCTGCCTCCACATTTACTTCTTTATTTCCTCTTGACACAAAATATTTATGTGCCTCATAATGAGATTTCGTGAACAATAGAACACATATTTGATGATGTTCCCATAAAATAATAATGAGGCCTAAAAATTCTATACCGTAGGGATGTCATAGTCATCATAATGCTGACCGTAACATAACACATTAGTCACTTCTTTGTGATGACATTGGTGTAAAAAACTACTATGTTGCCAGTCATATAAAAGTATAAAACATACAAATATAATCATAATACATGTTACCCTATTACTGGTTTATGTATTTATTACACTATACATTTTATGATTATTTCAGAATGTACTGCTTCTACCTATTTTTTTAAGAAAGTAAATGTAATACAGCCGCAGGCAGGTCCTTCAGGAAGCTTTGTGGAAGAATGCATTGTTATCTTAGCAGATGACAGCTCCATGTGTGTTATTGTCCCTGAAGACCTTCCAGGGGGACAGGATTTGGAAGTGGAAGACAGTGATACTGATGACCCTTACCTTGTGTGTATAGGCTTAGAATAGCGTGTATGTTTGTGTCTTACTTCTCAACAAAAAAGTTTAAAAAGTAAACAATAAAAATTAAAGAAACTAAACTAGGGAAAAGCTTATAGAACATGAATAAAAGAATGAAAATATTTTTGTACAGTTGTAAAATGTGTTTGTGTTTTAAGATGTGTTGTAAAAAAGAATCAAAATGCTAAAATAATTTAAAAGTTTATAAAATAAAGTTTCAGTAAGCAAAGTTTAACTTACTATTGAATGAAAATTATTTTTTTAGAAATTTAGTACGGCCCAAGTGTACAATGTTTATAAAGTCTATGGTAGTGTACATTATTACCCTAGGATTTCATATTCGTTTATCACTCACTTACTGACTCACTCAGAGCAACTTCTATTTCTGCAAGCTCCATCCATCCTAAGTGCCCTATACATGTGTAGCACTCTTTATCTTTTATACCATATTTTTATTGTACCTTTTCTATGTTAAGATTAATTTATATACACAAATATCGTTTTGTTACACTTGCCTACATTATTGAGTAGAGTAATATGCTGTACTCTTAGTACAGTAGTAACATGCTGTACTACAGAATTGAGTAGACTAACATGCTGTACTGTCTGTAGCCTAGAAGCAAAAGGCTATACCATATAGCCTGAGTGTGGAGTAGGCCACCCTATCTAGTTTTGTGTGAGTATACTCTGTGATGTTTGAACAAAGGCAAAGTTGCCTAAGAACACATTCCTCAGAATGTGTACCCACTGGTAAGCAACACTGTACATAGCCAGGGTGATTCCTTCTTTATATGCACTTCACTCCATATACTGTTAGCTTCTGCAACTATCCTGCATTTCATCTGCTGCTGCCTGTTCTGGGTCCTAATTTATCTGTCTTCTTTCTTGTGCATGTACGTTGCCTCTCCCACACCTATATACTTCTCAAAGCATCAAACACGCCTAACAGGGCTGTAAAAAATAAATAATATAATATATTTTTAAAGTCTTCCATATTTTCATTTTGAAAAAAATATTGAATCCCTTCATAAGTATTTATTCCAAGTAAATTTTAAAAAATTCTTTTTTCTCATTTGCTAAGTTGGAAAGATTTAGCTAGAAAATCTCTTCATTATAAGTGGAATAAAGTAGATAAAATTAAAAATGAGAGAAAGAACCAATGATATGGACTGGCTGTTTCCCCATCCAAGTCTCATCTTGAATTTTCGTTCTCATAATCCCCATGTGTCATGAGAAGAACCCAGTGCAGATAATTGAATCATGGAGGTGGTTACTTTCATGTTCTTCTCATTATAGTGAGTGAGTTTTCAAGAGATCTGATGGTTTTATAAGAGGCTTTTGCTGCTTTTGCTTGGCACTTCCCCTTGCTGCCATCATGTGAAGAAGGACATGTTTTCTTCCCCTTCCACCATGATTGTAAGTTTCCTGAAACCTTCCCAACCCTGTGGAACTATGAGTCAATTAAATCTCTTTCCTTTATAAATAACCCAGTCTTAGGTATGTCTTTATTAGCAGCATGAGAATGAACTAATACAGTAAATTGGTAATGGGTAGTGGAGCACTGCTGTAAAGATACCTGAAAGTGAGAAAGCAACTTTGGAGCTGGGTAACAGGCAGAGGTTGGAACACTTTGGAGAGCTCAGAAGACAGGAAAATGTGGGAAAAATTGGAATTTCCTAGAGACTTAGAGGTCTCAGAAGACAAGAAGATGCGGAAAAGTTTGGAACTTCCTAGAGACTTATTGCATGACTTTGACCAAACCAAAATGCTGATGATTGTATGGACAATAAAGTCCAGGCTGAGGTGGTCTCAGATGAAGATGAGAAACTTTTTGGGAACTGGAGCAATGGTGACTCTTGTTATGCTTTAGTGAAGAGACTGGTGGCATTTTGTCCCTGCCCTGGAGATCTGTGGAAATTTGAACTTGAGAGAAAGATTTAGGTTATCTGGCAGGAGAAATTTCTAAGCAGCAAAGCATTCAAGAGGTGACAGAGCATAAAACTTTAGAAAATTTGCAGGCTGATGATGAGATAGAAAAGAACAACCCATTTGCTGGGGAGAAATTCAAGCCCACTTCAGAAATTTGCATACGTAATGAAGAGCTGAATGTTAATCACCAAAGGGATGGGAAAAATGTCTCCAGTGCATATCACAGACATTTATGACAGCCCTTCCCATCACAGGCATGGAGGTCTAGGGAAAAGAGGCCTTCCCTGGAGGCCTAGGGGAAAAGTCCATACCTGGGCTGGGTCCAGGTCTCTGCTGCTGTGTGCAGCCTTGGGACTTGGTGCCCTGTGTCCCAGCTGCTCCAGCCATGACTAATAGGGGCAAATGTACAGCTCAGGCCATTGCTTCAGACGGTGCAAGCCCCAGGCCTTGGCAACTTCCATGTGGTGTTGGACCTGCGGGTGAACAGAAGTCCACAATTGAGGTTTGGGGACTTCTGCCTAGATTTCAGAGGATGTATGGAATGCCTGGATGTCCAGGCAGAAGGCTACTGCAGGGATGGAACCCTCATGGAGAAACTCTGTTAGGGCAGTGAGGAAGGGAAATGTGAGATTGGAGCCCCCACACAGAGTCCCCACTGGGGCATTGCCTAGTGGAGCTGTGAGAAGGCCACCGACCTCCAGACCCCAGAATGGTAGATTCACCGACAGCTTGCACTGTGAACCTGGAAAAGCCACAGGCGCTCAACACCAGCCCATGAAAAGAGCCGGGAGGGGGGCTTTGCCCTGCAGAGCCACAGGGGCCGAGCTGTGCAAGGCTGTGGGAGCCCACCTCTTGCATCAGCATGACCTGGATGTAAGACATTGAGTCAAGGAAGATCATTTTGAAACTTTAAGTTTTAATGATTTCCCTATTGGATTTCAGACATTTATGGGGTCTGTGGCCCCTTGGTTTTGGCCATTTTCTCCCATTTGGAATGGCTGTATTTACCCAAGGTGCCTGTACCATCATTGTATCTAGGAAGTAACTAAGTTGCTTTTAATTTTATAGGCTCATAAGTGGAAAGGACTTGCCTTGTCTCATATGAGACTTTGGATTTGGGCTTTTGAGTCAATGCTGGAATTAGTTAAGATTTGGGGGGACTTTTGGAAGGGCATCAATGTATTTTAAAATGTGAGCACATGAGATTTTGGAGGGACCAAAGGTGGGATGATACAGTTTGGCTGTGTCCCCACCCAAATCTCATCTTGAATCGTAGCTCCCATAATCCCCATGTGTTCTGGTAGTGACCCAATGGGAGGTAATGTAATCATATGGGGTAATTACCGTGATGCTGTTCTCTTGACAGTAAGTAAGTAGGTTCTCAAGAGATCCGATGGTTTCATAAGGTGCTTTTCCCCTCTTGCTTGGCACTTCTCTTTGCTGCTGCCATGTGAAGAAGGACATGTTTCCTTCCCCTTCTGCCATGATTGTAAGATTCCCGAGGTCTCCCCAACCCTGTGGAACTGTGAGTCAATTAAACATCTTTCGTTTATAAATTACCCAGTCTTGGATATGTCTTTATCAGCACCTTGAGAACTAATATGCCAAGTTAAACAAAACCATTTTAATGCATTTACTTACCTAAATCATTAAAAATACAAGACACTGTTAGCTTTTCTCTGTGCTACATTTATTCTTCTATTTGGTCAGTTGAGGCTATAGCACATTTCCTCATCAGTACATGCTATAATTCTCATACATTACCCATACAAATGAAAGTTCTTCAAATTTTAAAATGCATCACACCCTTAGAAAATGCAGAAGAACACATATAATCCCCTGGAGAGATTAGTAAACTATTCTTCTTTTTTAAACTGGCAAAGCTAATTAAGGATCCCCAGAAGAAAAGAATAATATGATTTGGTAATATTAATTTGAAAACAAAAATGAAAACACAACAATATTTTCTGGTTCTTCATATACACTCCACACAGCAATCACACTCCTGCTTCTCATTTAAAACCCGTGTTGTAGATTCAATTCACATATCTTTTAGTTTTGGAAACTATGATAACATTTTATAATTTATTTTTTATTCTCATATTAAAACAAATTTTATCCCACTTTACAAAAGCTAATAATACAATAAGATTTCTATAAGAATATTGAGCAATTTAATGGGACGTCTTTTGTAAGTCACATAGATGATGTGCTACGTACTTCAATTCTATGCACTGTTCCAAGTAAAAATTATTTTAAATGCTCTAAGCATGGTCTTTTCCTAACATAACTTCTGATAGTTATCTCACTACATTCCTCTAAAGGATTTTCAAATTCAAATTTTAGAACTTCTCTTCGTGAAGCTGACAAAAAAGTATTTTCATCTACTTTAGAGAATAATAGCTGGCAGATAAAGCCTATAAAATAGCTACTTTTTGATTAATTCTCATTTGTCTTTGTAAAGACTCTAAGTAACACAATGTCAATAACATTGTTGAGCATTCATAATAAGCACAGCCTTGAAAGACAGTTGGTTAGGCAGAAAAGAAAAGAAGTATGATAACGAGCAAATCAAAGCTGAATAAACAAGAAAACTACAATGAATGTGGTTAGGGGCTCAGTTAATAAATAATATGTTGTTTCACCGCATATACAAATTTTGAGTGTGTATGTCTGTTACATTCTTACTGTGTTGCCATGATACTGGCTTTTAGTTTTGTAACCTGGCATTGCTCTCCTTTCTGCCTGATCTTTACAAAAGAAGGCTTCCTCCTGATAATTGACGTTACTCTGCATATATCAGCCTTTGTGATCTAGCTCAGTGCTGGCTGCAAAATGTGTTGATATGGAATTTGACTTGATTCTTTCTTTGAGTTGATATTTGAGTTTGGCATTTTTGAAGCTGAACTACATGGTGGTTAGTCTGTTTTTTTTTTTTAATAAGACGGCCAATTATTGAGACTTTCACCACATATTTGACAGCTTAAAACAGATATGTGAAAATACACGTGTCTCAAATTCCACTAGGTAAAGTAAATACATAGTGTGTCAGAACATTAAAGTACAAATTGAATAAAAAATTAAAAGGAAATATTGCAAAACTGAAAAAAGTCGGGAAGTGAAAATGTCAGCTTGACCTCATTTTCTAAGGTACTGATCATCATTAGTTGTATTCAGGCAGATTGACTCCATCCATACATGGGAATTCTATCTAGAAGATTCTGGAAGATACCCACTTATTTGCCAAATCACTATGGAATCTTTATTATATTTTAGGTATTTAAATTTTCTTCTTGAAAATTAACTATTTAAGGACTATTTTTACACACACGCATGCACACAGAACTGTATTAGTTAGGTATGAAAAATAAAAATAAAATTCTTAAACTTCAGTGGTTTATTCCCATAGAAATTAGAACCTCATTGTTCTCATTTCACTCTAATGAGGTTGGTTTAGGGGCGGCGAGTTGACCTAAATGTGGTAATTTCAGAGACGTTAACTCTTTCCATGTCTTAGTACATCTGGAACCTCTGCAATTAGTAGCAAAGAGAAGGTAAGGAAAGCATGATCAATTCCTGTGTTTCTTAATACAGAAGTGTCATTTATTATTTTCTCTCAAATTCTGTCAATAAAAAAGTTGTATGGCCCCGATTAGTCCCCAGGAGAGTGAAAAGTAGTCCTGGCTGTAGACCTGTCACTCATCTAATACATCAAGTGTTATTAAAATAAGTTATATTGTTTACCATATTCTTTTTAGGACACTAAATGCTATTTTGGTTAAGTTTGAACATCACACAAAGGTCTTTCATCAGCAAAATGAATGCCCTAATACAAATTAAATTACTATTCTGGTTCTAGGTGAACTGAAATAATTATTGATATCTATCTGACTTTTGTCTGCAACTGACTCTTTTTCTTCAAAATTAAACACAGAAATGAAAGCTTTGCTCTCAAGGGTTTATTTTTTTTCTCTTAAAATAAATGACATGAATTACTTCTTTCAGAATTATCTTTTCCCAAGTGTTGCTGATGGCTTCTTTTTAAAACGTTTTACATTAGCAAGTGCCATCCTGATGAAAAGCCCATTTCGACTTGACATTAATTTTACACTCAGTGCATAATACTTGACCTTGTCATTAGGTCAACTATAAACTGCCATGAGTGAAATGTAATTTCTCTACTGCATTGCTATTTGTCCTTCTCTTATTTGTACCATGAGGTGTGCACTTGCCCTCTACTGTCATCTTTGTCTCCTTTGTATATTGCTCTTTTACTCATTAGCTCTCAACACCAATGTACCTTTGCTTACAAAAGGTAAAGGTGCCTCTACTATAAATATACATGAGTGTCTTTCTCCCTCAATCTCTAAACAAAACAAAAACTCCAAAAATCTACTTTGGTAGCTAAAAAACCCAGGAGTTTAAGCTTATAAAGGCCATGTATCAAGAAATGTTCTGGTAAGCTGGTAAGTAGAAATGTGCATGTTACCAGAGCACTTTTCTATAAGGTGCCTTTCAAGCTCTGCTCCTTTCTGTACTGAAACACACTGTGAATTCTGTTTCCCAACAATCACCATTTCGAAATCACCCATATATAAATAACTGAATGTTCCCTTACAGTTCATGCAAATACATTCTTGAGCAATCTTTTGATTCTTCTGCAATTCTGACAATTACTTTTATCTCCAAAAATTATAGACCATATAAAAATAGTCATATAAAAAGATGACTTTTTTTACAATATAAATACATCTTTTTAAGAGTGCACATAACAAAAATGAGAATTCATTGTGAACTTGAAATTATAAAATGACATCATTTCAGATATATTGTTGCAATCATATTTTCTAGATCCAACAAAAGCAGGTTTAAACCAAATTGTAAGACTGTGTCATTAATACCAATTTTATGTACTACATTACATAAACTAATTTATTTCAACTTAGTCCAAAAATATGTATCATTCTTACCATCCATTTGTGTAGTTGAAAACTATCTATTTTCCAGATTTGGTTCATCTATTGCTCCTCTCTTGATATCCAACTGAAACTTCTTTGAGGAGTACATTTTCTTTAGAAGTGGTAGGCCATTGAAAACTACACAAATGTTTTGCAATATAGGAGGAGGACCCGGGGGGGGAGGAGGAGGGCAAAGAAGATGAGGAGACAGAGAGAAAGAGGAGAAGAAGGAGAAAGAGAGGGAAAACATGGAGATTAAAATTGTTCATATAAATTTTGGAAATTATCAGTAAGAGCAATAATAAGAAAATTTATTTAAGGAAAAGACTGAAAGAACAATGCTAGGAAATTATAGCTACAACTGCAGAAACATTATTTCCTTCTAGAAAATAAACTATGTAAACTATGTGTACTGTTATTCTACTTGGGAAGTAGATAATAAAATTATTTACTTACTTTGGAGTTAGGTTACAATTTGATAGGTTTATCTCAGTTTTCATAATAAATTAAAATATATCGCAAGCTTGGATATAGTTTTACAATTACTTCTGTTGTTTATAATAATGAAAACAATTTCATGTATAATTTTTTGACACTTAGGAATCACCTAAAAAGCAAAGCCTTTATTATATCTCATTATAATATATTATATTAATTATTGTATGTATCATTCCTGCTGCTGTATTTTACTTTTCTACAATAATTTTAGCAATTCAAAAATAAAGTCAGTAAGTGTTATGTTGAATAAATAATTGAATTAATATAAAAATATGAATAATATACGTTATAAGACATCTTTAAACTTCTGACTTGTAGCAAAAAAAAGGGAACATATTTGAAAGTATACGTGAACTTTTGATAAAAATATTTTAAATATGGAGCCAGACCTTTTTTAGAAAAATTTCTATCAATCAAATAGTTTTTGAAGTAACCCATGCGTGCTGCAAATTGGGATTAAAACCGATAAAATTTATCAGTAGAAAGGAAAAGAAATGATGATTGTAACACGGGATAAAGCCATAAAATCAAGCCTTAGAAAGTATTTATTTTAGCAAATAACTCCCTTTGAATTTCTTATTCTCTTTTAATTCTTAAAAGATGTAGTATTCTTTTCAAAACATGCAGATCCCTACAGTGCTTCATCTACTTTGAAAACAGTGCTATAGAAAAGTATGTATTTTATTTGAAAAATGAACAAGTCAATATCATACGTATTACTGGTTTGTACATTGTATTCAATACAGAAAAAGGCTGATGATAGCTGGACCACAATTAAGTCCTGGGTTTATGGTCAGAGTCAGCGTGAGGTAACTCTCAAAGTCAAAAAACTAAAGAAGTGTCAAAGAGGGAAACAAAACTGAAATATCTGTGGGATTTCATTGACATTATCAATCAGAAGAGGCCATGGCTAAGACTGCAAACACAAACACCTGTAGGTACTAGGCCATAAACTAACCGAGTTCAAGCAACAAAGATGTAAAAGTCAATAGCAACTGATCATTGATTTTCAGGTTCTGAGAACCAATACGAGGTACTGAGGACTGGGACCAACAAGAGAGGAAGCGCACGGTGGAAGTATTCCTTTCATTTACATGTGATATAGAATAATAGAGTTACATGTCCCTTTTAAATACTCTGCGAAATGTCTTCCAATGCCATTTGGCTTCTCTTTTTACAATTTCACTTTCTGTGTCATGAGTCTTCACACTACCTTCAACATGATGGCATTACTAAAGAACAGCTCACTTCAATTAAACATTTTGTAGTCGAAGAGTCATGTACAGTCTGAGTGCTGAACTTACCTTTAGCCTTCTTCTTAGGTGGTAACCTCAAATGTAACAGAGTCAACCATAGCTTTTTAAGAGATGAAATTTAAAAATTTCACACTTCCATGTCTGCTAATAACAAACTCAAGTTGCTTCAAATGTAGCTATTTTTTAATATTTAATAGTTTAAGAACGTTTCTGTATGCTCAAAACTTACTGGGTGCTCACAGGTTGATTCCAGTGACTACACTGTTTTCAAATTATTCAACTTATTTCTCATTGAAGACAGGGACCATAGTTTTATTCCTTTCGGAGAACCCATACACAGTTGTCTCCTGAATTGATTCCTTTGGCTCTCTTCCAAGTTAGCAAAATGTTACTGGCATTCCAATGGTATTTATATTCTACTTTAAAATGTTTAGAATCTACTCTATAATTTGTAGGAATCAGTTTGAAATATAAGAAATGAAAAATAAAAGTTACAATGTTTTGCATGTGAAAGTAACAGATAAAATAAAAACATTTCTGGCAGTAAGGCAATACTGATATGGCTAACTCAGTGGCTGAATAAGAATGTAGTTTTCCATTCTGCCCTCCTCGGAATGTTGTCTTCTAGTAGTTCTAGTATGGCAACTGGTGTCACATGCGGAGGCCAAAATCAAGAAGCAGAAAAAAAAATCATCTGTCTTTCATCTCCATCAGGAACAAGAAAATTCATCATAGAATACATTCACATTGAGAGAACTTCTCTGTATAATTGAATTGGCATAATTTTGTCAGATGACCTTGCCTAAAGCAATCACTCATCAGGCAAATGAGACCACATTTTTGTCAGAGGCAGGTTAAGAGCCATTCCATGTTTCCTAGGAAAGGCAGAGCACTGCTGAAAGCAAATTGGAGAATGGTGAGCCCGTGTGGAGTTTTAATAGCAAGGAAGATGTATGTCTAAGAGATAGTGATGAGGAGACAACCCAGAATGGCTGCCAAAAACAAAGGTAAATTTGGCTGTTTTGCTTTGGGCTCCCTTGTCTCTTACCTGAAAATCATTATAGAAAATAATGATTCCTACTCTATCAGATATTAGAGCAGCTGAGAATAATCTTCATTCTTGACTAAAATGCCAGTAAAATATTATCTGTATTCCAATTTAAATTCACAAACCTTCTGGCATTATTAAGTAGGAATTTTAAAAGTTTTATCCAAGGATATTTTGGCTTGCTCCAAATCCTACAGACTTAGAGGAAGAAAACACACTTTTAATAAAGACAGCCAAGAATGATTTTTGTTTAATTCCTCCCAAATATGCCATTTTTGGAAGGATTTCTGGCAGGAGCAGTTTTAAGAAGCACACCGTCAATGTTGTAATGGGTTTTGAACTTGTGGCTATTATTCCAGGATAAATTCACTCTTTTTTTGTGCCCCTATGCACAGTAGAAGGTATAAGCATTTGTTTTAAATGTAAGCATTAATTCTGACTTCTGTAAATAAGATAACATACACACTCTAATTGTTAGATTAAGTAATGTATTACATTTCTAGGACAAAAGTAACATTGTATCACACACAGTTGGCGCTGTATACATAATTTTCATTTTCTAACAATCTTCAAAACTTAGGATCAAGTTCCTTCCACTGTTGTGGGTTATTTTCAAATCTTACAATTTTCAAAAATGAAAGCTTTTTGTAGTAAAATGCTATGAAAGGTCATTCATTTTTACATAACAGTATCTCATGTGATAATAGAGTCCTTATAAACCTGAAATTGTATGCTTTGAGACAGTCATTTTTATAATGCCATACTTGATATCATTTGAATTTGTATTCCCACCCAAATCTCATGTCGAATTGTAATCCCCAGTGTGGAAAAGGGGCTTGGTAGGAGGCAGTTTGCTTATGGGGGTCATTACTTATGGTTTAGCACCGTTACCCTAGTGCTGTCTTGTGATAGAGTTCTCCTGAGATCTGCAATGCTTTCTGTACAGCCTGCAGAACTGTGAGCCAATTAAACCTCTTTTCTTTATAAATTACCCAGTTTCAGGTATTTCTTTATAGCAATGTGAGAATGGACTAAGGCAATGCTCTAAGATATTAAAAAATAGGATAACAACAGAAGATGATACTAATTTACTTTTTAAGTAAATTGCACACTTGCCTATAATATACTATGCTTTTGGTATAATATTACAATAGTGAAACAAAGAAACTGAATACATGTAGTTCACAGTGGTAAACTAATATGTGGTTTATAAAATACAATTATATACGACTTACTTTGTGAACTTCAGGATGAAGATATTTTTCATTGTCAAAAGTATTATTTTATAATATTTATGGTTGATTTAGCATGGGCAAAAATTGCCAAATATTATTTCCCTCTTTGAAGGCATCCCATATGAAAACTCTACATATATTAAATGTGTAATTCATGTAATACACATAAAGATTGTGTAACTACTACTCAAGTAGACTCCCTCATACCATGCTCCAGTCAGGATCATACCCAATTGTAAACACTATCGTGATTAACCCATTCTACTGTTATTGGACATTTGAGTCTTGCCAAGTTTATGGTTGCAATGAATAAAATTTCCATGTTCACTTTTTCATATCGGTTTTGGTGTATTTATGTTGGGCATACAGAATATAGGAATGGAGTTGCTGATTCCAGGCATATGAAAGGATAATATTTTTTTTTTCTTCAAGTGGGTTCTACCAAAACATTTTCTTTTAAATGGTTTTACATTTTTTGTAATCACTACCAATATAGTTACTGTTATTCCACGTCCTCAGAAACTCTTGGTATTTTCAGCCATTTATTTAGATATTCTGATATGTAATGATAGTTCATTGTAATATTAATTTGCATATCTGTGATCAATAATGATAATAAAACATTTCCACAAGTTTATGAAACTTTTTGATACCTTTCTGTGAAGCACACATTCAATTCAACCTATTTTTCTATATATATACATATGTATGTGTATGTATATTATATATATTATATATTATACAAACATATATATATATATATAGAGAGAGAGAGAGAGAGAGAAAATTTCTCTTCCCAGACAGTTGTCTTTGCATCACTTCCCTTAATTATCAGGTTTGTTGAAAACCAGATTTTTTTTTTCTTAATGAAGCACCATTTATCAATGTTTGTAATAGATATTGCATACTGCATGTTATTTAAGAAATTTATTCAGAGATTGAGCTAATGAAGACTTTTATGTGTTTTCTTCTAGCAATTTGATAAATATATGTATAATATTTAGGTCTATCTGCCATCTAACATTAGTTTGTGTTTGTTTGGAAAGAGAAGTGAATTAATATAACCATTTTCCCCCATGGATTGTAAAAACCATCCTTTCCCCAGAGAATTTGTAATGAGGACTTTTAAAAATCAATTAAAGATTAATGTGCAGGTCTCTAACTGGACTCTGTATTCTGTGGCATTGGACCATTTGTCTGTCCTTGAAACAATGTCACATTGTTTGGGTTACTATGTATTTATAGTAAGTCATGGTATGTGGTAATACCTGCTCTGCTTTGCTCTGCTTCAAAATTGCTTTAGTGATTCTAGGACATTTGACTTTCAATCTACATGTTAGGATCATACTCTCAATTTCCATAAGAGAAAAATCATGCTGAAATTTTTTTGAGGATTGCATAGAAGCTTTAGGGAAACTTGAGAAGAATAGGCATTTTACTAGTAAGAGTAGAACAATCCATTAACTTGGAATAACTCCATTTTATTTAGATATAATTTAAGAAATGCTTTTCATAGTTTTCAGTGTGAAGATATTGCAAAGTTTTCATATATTTACTAGATTCATTCATAGAAATGTAATGTTTTGGCTATCGTAACAAACGGAGTTCTCTATTTAAATTTCATTCCCATTTTTATTGCTAGTATAAAAAATGTAACTGACAATTATTTATCTACCATGTATCCAGCTAAATTCCATTATTATTAAATAATTCCTATGGGTGGTTTGTAGGGTTTTTTGTTTGTTTTTGTTTTTTGTTTTTCGTAGGAGAGGAGTGACTTTCTGTATCATGATGTGCGTCAAAAACTTATTTTTCCAATATTCTCAGCTATTATCATGTCTTCTTAAGTAGATATAGTTTATTTTAGCTTTTCACTAAAACAGTACTGCCTTATATATGAAACAATCCATAATATAGTCAACCCTGCGTATCCCTGGGTTTTGCAACCATGGATTCAACCAAACATGGATCAAAAACATTTGGAAAAAAATGCATAGCTACCTCTGTACTGAATATGTACAGACTTTTTCCATTTTATTCTTACCTAGACAATACAGTATAACAACTATTTACATAGCATTTACATTTTATTAGGTATTATAAGTAATTTAGAGATGATTTAAAGTATACAAGAGAGTGTTAGTAGGTTATAATCAAATACTACATCATTTTATAAAAGGGACTTAAGTATCCGTGGATTTTGGTACCCACAGGAGGTCCTGGAACCAATCTCCTGTGAGTACTGAGCAGCAACTTTATTTTACTGTGATTTTCAATCAATACAGAACTTCAATCTTTCAATGCTTCATTTGATGAAGATGCAGATATGTGTAATCGCTTGTCTCTTTTGTATAGAGATGTGAGTTAGGCTTAGCACAGTTATTGTTACCTTTAAGATTTCAAACATTCTTAAGTCTCATAAAGTTCTGGTTATTGTGGAACTTTCCAAGATCTTGATCTCAGAAGCTTCTGGGCTCTCTAATTTCTTATTGTAAATATAAATGTCCTCTATGTCTACCACCATATCTAGCACTCACTGTGGCAGCGATGTTTTATCTTCTCTTTAACTTTTCATCCATGTTCCTTTTGTTGTGCCTGTATGTTGACACTTTGTCTATGCTCAGAATACAGAATTTTTTAATATTTCTTTGTATCAAACTTTCTTTTTTTTTTCTCTTGGAGGTCTAACCCTTACGAGAGCATAAAGTATAGTATCTAATGTTTCAGGCATTATGTGTTAGGCATTTGTATCTTGTTGGCAATTATATATTTAGGTTTTATATTATATACAAAATAACTTTACATTCTTTAAGCAACAAATATCAAACCCTTGATAAATAAAATACCATAAGCATTAACTTGTATACAGTGTCTTTATGCCTTTTTTTTTTTTTTTTTGTCAAGAGGACCAGTGTCAGTACCGTACTGTATAAACCATCTGTCCATCTGAAGGTCATGTTTAGCTCCTCAATGCCCTGAGTAATTTTGGGAGATCAAATGCACACTTACAAATTATGTTTTAACTAACCAATGTGGTTTTATAGATAATAATTAAGCACTTATATTTAATGACTTTGATGGACAATAAATTTAGAATAGTGTATAAAAACTTAGGGTGAAATAATTTTTTATCATAGAAATTTTTGATAAAATTTTCAAATTTATTTATATGTTGATAGATCTATTTTATGATTATGAAAATATGTGAGCATATCTGTATCAATCTGTATGTAATATACATGTGAAAACATGTACAAACACACACACACACCCTTATTGGCACACATATTTTACTTATATGATAAATGTTAAGATAAATGATAGAGTTAAGAAGTTAATAAGACATTTTACTTTCATAAATACATGAGACTGAAGACATAGGATTTTTTTAAAGTCAGAAACAATTGCAACAAAAAAAATAATGTTGTCTGGGACATGATATTAAAAAAAAGTGATTGTAACCAGGAGCAGCAATTACCTCAGAATTATCTATGTCAAAGGACAGACAAATTATTCCCTATGTGCCAATTTCTAGGATTCTTCTTTTTTTAAATTCTAAATAATAATGCATCATCATACATCATTTATCTCGGGACAAAGATAAAGTGAGAAAATAATATAGTAAAACATGGTACATTTTTATAAATTTATAAACTTAAAAAATTTAGTAACAGTATGTAGATCTGAGTAAATTTTCACTTCACTCCTTAACAATGGATTCAATGCTTAATATTATTACAGAAATTTGATTATAAAGTAAAATGTAAAGTTTATTTCTTTTCCCCAAGTTAAATTGTGTGCTCTTCATATCACTAGAAAAACATTGTCTCAATAAAAAAATCAGCCTTTCTCATCAATTATTTCAAAACATTGCTCATTTATATTCTAAGGCACCAACAATAATTAGTGAATCAAAGAAATCCAACGTAAGCTTCTTAAGATTAACAACCATTCCATATGGATTTTTTATCTTCAGGTTCATAAGTTTCTCTCATTTGAATTAATGACTGTATGTTGCCAAAATAAACAAATCTTTCTTGAGCTAATTTATTAGTACATCTCCCAAGATTATTTATGTTGATCTTTTTTCACATATTTCTATTTCCTTTTAATGACATTAGGCTGACAGTGTATAACCAATTATATGTATATAAATGAATATATAATGTATCATATATTATATATGCATATAGTGTGTGTGTATATTATATATAACTACTGATATAGAACAGATAAATTAGCAGCAAATATTTTGTTAAAAGCGTATTTTAATAATATGCCAGTAGGAATAAGAGTAACAGCAGCTGTAATAAATATAACAAAATGAATAGCATATTTGTAAAATATATAGGTGTAAAGTATGTAAATGAGAAGAATGGGTTAAGTGCTTATAAGAATTATCTCATTTCATGTTAACTATAAGCATATATTGCTCATATTAATATTCTTCTTGTAGATAAAGAAACTTGGGGTCTAAAAAGTTATGTAATAACCCTTGGCCATAAAGGTAATACATATCAGAGCTAGTATTTGAGGTCATGTATACCAGAATTTCCACTCTTAATCATTAATACATAATAGTGTAGGTCTACAGATATAGATTTTATTCTGATGATAATTCTTTTTCAGATATTTCACAACAGATAGAAAGAAACCAATGTCCTATTGAAAAGAATTGCCCTCAATTCTGAGTTTGATGAATCATTTTCATCCAAATGAATTTGCAATGAGTCAGAAAGTACTTCTAGGAAACAAATGAACAAAAAAAAATCACAATTGTAGAAGCTTGGTTAATGAAGCAATTATGGTGAAAATATTTCAAATGAATCACTGTGAATTGACAACCTAGTAATTTACAGATATTTCTGGGTATTTAATCATTGAAAACCATACATGGCCACATATGAACACCTGGGATTCAATGAAACTATTTGAACATGGTGATGTTGCAGGCTGGGTGCTTGTGCAAACAGAGATTTGAACTAAGTCATAACAGAGGAATATTTTAGGAAATTAATATTTTATCTCTGAAGGCAACAGGGCCTCTGACAATAATATCAGATATGTTAATGCCCTTTACATTTTATTTAAAATACCTCATTATATCACCATGTATTCAATTTTGCCAGGTTACGTATGAAAGGACAACTTGACTGTCTTTGGAGGTTCTATTTAATAACTTGTGTTTGGGGAGCAGAGTCATTATGTGGAATATCAATATCCAAAACTAGTTGTCTCAGTTAATATCATGGCAAGTCCAGAGTAATTGTATCACAGGTGAAATTTCCTGTGTTCTTCTGTGTCAATAACTTGTGGGATAGGAGTTGATAAAATTCTATTGTATTTTAATGTCTACATCCTTGTGGATGATTGATTGGATCTCTGAGACGTCAACTATTTGAATATATTTGAAGTGACAATATGTGTGGAAATAGGGGTTGGAGTATGGAGGATGGGAGGTGACGATGGAAAATTTGGAGGTGAGAACAAAGAATATAAGATAGAAAATAAAAGATCAAGACTATTTAGGATATTTGCATCATATTAATGATTTTGGATTTTAACCTGAGAACAATGAAAAGTCACGATTGCAAGTTTTATTAATTAATTCACATTTTAAATATTCTTCCTTATGCTTTCCCCAGTTGTTTTTTATGGCTTTCTTCTTTCATTTCTCTCCATTTGTCCTTGCCCTCATCACTGCTTCATTTCCTAATTTAATCATCACTTAATTGTCTTCTCTAGTTTTAGCTCCTTTTCTTTTGCTTGTCATGTCTTTAGTGCTGTTATGTGTTATCTCCTTTGTCAATTCTTAGAGAGAAACAAATAATAAATTATTTGAGAAATACTTGAATATTTTCTAGGCTTCTTGATTTATGTATTTTGACATTTAGATATTACATTTTACTTGGTTCAGTATCTTTTCCTCAGAAATTTATTTCTATCTGCTCTCTGTAGTATATATATTTTTAATAATTTTCACCAGTTTTACATCATTTAATTAGTCCTCTCTATATTATATCAATTTTTACTTTAGTATCTGTGTATTGAATGAATTGGATAGATGAAATAAAAAGTTTAGGTAACAGGTGTTATTACTTTATCAATTTGTGCTCAGACTTTGCAAAACTAGTATATAAACCTGATTTTTACGAACAATTAATGTAGTTCCCAGATCAAAACTCATTTTAATGTTTAAAAAAATTATTTTTTGGTTATGTTCTCTAAAGAGCAGAATACATTCAGGGATAAATAATTCATTATCATAGTAGATTTTTAGAAAGAGTGTTTTCCTAGGCCTTATCTTTTTAATAACCAAAGGCTATACTTGTATCAAACATAGTCTGATTATGCTCAGCATATGAAATCTAATTTTTCAGCTACTGAGTGTGGAAAAAAAAAAACACATGTAATTTTGTCTACTGGTATCAGAAAGTTGGCCAGTGCTAATATATTGGTTTGACTATATGGATAAGAATGTAATTGACCATTTTTTAAATATCAGAAACATTTATTCAGCCGAAGACATGATTCTCTGGATGCAGTGTTAGCACACCATATTAAGAATATTATTTTTATCTTTGATTATTTCACCCTTATCTACTCATTTAATCTTCAGCTTTGCTGTCTGGTTGGTCATTAGCATTCACAGAAGCAAATCACATTTCACTTCAGTGCTGTAGAAGAGGAGCTGAAAAGCCCCATATTGCTCTATAAGTGATTAGGTTTTTGACTTCAGTGTCTATTTATATTCTATTCTTCTCTGACACACTGGGACCCAGGAAAGAGTTGACAATAGCTAGGGTAATTAACCGATTGTGAAGCCCTTCATATTGCTGTAAAAAACTCAATAAGTCAATGGTTAGGCTCAAACTCATCAACATGAAAAAAATGCTCAATAACCAGCCTGGACTATGATTGTTAATTTAGCAATGACATTTTGAATAGGAATTTTAGTTGCTTTAGTTTTAAGTAGTAGATGAGATGCTTGGCCTTATTAAGCCAGGACTTAAAGATTTGAGAAGTAGTAATGATTGGTTAAAACCTGGCTACTGGTGCAGAATACAAAGGAAATAAGCTCCAAATGTGAGGCACTAAGATCATAGAGAAAAACTGAGGATGTCATAAAACTATAACAATTGCAGTATGCAAGGTTAAATAAAGCAAAAAAGCAGAATTGTTTTGGGAAATGAACAAATTTTCTTGGATTTTAAGGAAAAAGTACCACAGATGTTTAAATATTTTAATAAACAGAAAGACTGAAAATAATCAGTACTGATGACTGTATTTTATCCGTCTCAGTGATTGAAATGAAATGCCCACACCATTTGAACTTAAATTTTTTTGTGCAATGGTATGATTATAGCTCATTGTAATTCTGAACACCTGGACTCAAATGATCCTCCTGCCCCAGCCTCTTGAGAGTTGGGACTACAGGTTTTGGCAAGTACACCCCACCTAAGTGAGTTTTTATATAGAGCCAGTATTATTAGCAGCAGCCTTTGAAAATGTCAGAAGTCTTCTTTTTAAATATAATTTGATTTTTTAATTTTTAATTTTTGTGGGTACATGGTAGGTATATATATTTATGGGGTATATAAGATATTTTGATACAGGCATACAATGCATAATAATCACATCAGGGTAAATAGGGGATTCATAACTTCAAGCACTTTTTCTTTTTGTTACAAACAATCCAATTATATTCTTTTAGTTATTTTAAAATATACAATAAATTATTGTTGACTGTAGTCACCCTGCTGTGCTATCAAATACTAGATCTTATCCATTCCATTTAGCTTTGTTTCAAGTTTCAAAAACCATATACTTTATCTTTTTCATTTTCTATTTAAAATTTCTTTAAACTTCAGTTTCAAATAAAATGAAAAATATATTTTATTTAATTTTATTTTCTTTTTAATTACTAACACTGCAATATTTAAACAATGTACTTTTTACCTCTTAAAATTTGTTGTATTAGGTTCTGACCAATAGTTGTTACAACGTAAACTATTAACCATTTCTGCTGCTTCATTATTTTATTGAAAGTAAACATTTGAATAAACACATTATGATTAAATGTTTTAATATGAAACTACAAAGCCATTTTCAAAACTTTATCATGTTTATGTTCTCACTCATATGTGAGAGACTTTAAAGTTTATCTCACAGAGGTAGAGATTAGAATGCTGGATACCAGAGGCTAAGAAGAGAAGGGGTAGAAGGTGAAGAGAGGTTCATTAAGGGGTACAAACACATAGATAGAAGGAATGATTTATAGTGTTTTATTGCACACTAGGCTGACTATACTTATCAGTAATTTGCTGTACATTTCAAAATAGCTAGAAAAGAAGATTTGAGATATTCTCAACACAAATAAATGATCAACGTTTGAAGTGATGGATATCCCAATTGCTCTGATTTGATCATTACACATTGCATCTATAAAAAATCACATGTAATCTATAAATATGTAGAATTATTACCATAAATAAAAGAAAAACAAACAGGTTATCAAATGCTAATATGAAAATATTTTGCAATCTTAGGAAATGACTTGCAAATAAGTGCATGATCTTCCATAAATTGAATTTTCTTTGCAATGCAGTGGCAAGTAGATTGTCAGTACCAAGATATCTTGGCATTTAGAAATACAAAATGTGACTTGAGGGCAAATTGACTAATTTTATCATATATTTGCTTTTTATTTGTGAATTAAAAGATTTAAAATATATTTAAAAAATACAAGCCTGAAAAAAATTGGTAAAAAGCTAATTTTATAATGATGAAAAATTTAATATCAAAGTAGCTTGTAACACATATATTAGGGTGTCCATTTATTTCATAATTAGCATAGGATATCTTGGTATTTGAATAAAGACATTTATTATAAATGCTACTTCATAGAAATTGATTATATTTGATATTATTTATTATTTATTTATTTATTTATTTATTTATTTATTTATTTATTTTGAGATGGAGTCTCGCTCTGTCACCCAGGCTGCAGTGCACTAGCACGATCTCGGCTCACCGCAACCTCCGCCTCCCGGGTTCAAGTGATTCTGCTACCTCAGCCTCCCGAGTAGCTGGGATTACAGGCTCATGTCACCATGCCCAGCTAATTTTTTTTTTTTTTCGTATTTTTAGTAGAGATGGGGTTTCACCATATTGGCCAGGCTGGTCTCGAACTCCTGACGTCTTGATCCGCCTGCCTTGGCCTCCCAAAGCACTGGGATTATAGGCGTGAGCCACCACGCCCAGTCAATAATTTCTATTTAGATATAAAAATGATTAATAAAATGATAAAACAATACTCTTTGTGAGATAAATTCAAGATGATTTTTCTTTTGGAAAGTAGTAATATTTTACTTAATATCTACTTAGGACTCTAAATATGAATCCTGGGAAAACTAAACACTATTTGTTAGTGAGTCCTTAAATATAAAAGATATATTAGAGGGCAAGTTTAAATTAAGACCCATTTTGAAAAATAAAATAAAGGATAGAACCAAAGAAACTTTCAAACAACACTAATTTTCAGAAGTCATGGTATTTGAATAACAATAATTTATTTGTATACCAAGAAATCACATAATCACAAGGAAAATATAAATATAGAATTTTAAATACAAAAGAAGTAATGATAGGACACAATTGCAAAACTAACATGAGAACTGTAGGAAAAAGATTAATTTTGAAATTATTTGCAGAGGACTAAGAATTTGTTCTACGGCAAGGGACTAAGTGTTAACCAGGCAGAAGGGAGTGTGATGGGGATATTCATTTAAAATATTTATACATTGTGAGCAAAAATGCGAAGAAAGAAGTAAACATGTTCTGTTGATTAAGGAAACATTTATACTATCAAAGTGTTCATTGTCTAGTGGTTTAGAATATATAACAATTATAAGTCTGAATAATTGCATGTGTATAATAAGAAAACAAATCCAACAGAAGCAGACCCACCCATTAAATGCACATTTATTTATGCATTAGTTACTGCATTAGACCCTGAGGACACATTTGTCAGCCAAAAAGGCAGGGTTGCAGTCCTTGAAGAATGTATATCTATTCTTCATTCTTTGTTTTTACCAATTTTATGACCAAAAATATGGAATTTGTGAAACGTCAAGCTGCTCTGTTGGAATCTGGCAATAGCAGTTAAGAACAGTAATTAAGATTTGGTGAACATCAGAAAAATTCAAAGCAACATCACAACGAGATATTACTTCACATCTCTTAGGATGGCTATTGTCAAAAACAAAAACAAAATGTGTTGGAAAGGCTGGAGAAAAATTGGAACGCTTTATGCTTTTGGTAGAAATAATTGTAAAATGGCACATCTAATATGGAAAACATGGAGGTTCTTCAAAAAATTAAAAATAGAACCACCATGTGATTCAGCAATCCTGCTCCTGGGCATATATTAAAAAGATCTGAATTCAGGGTCTCAGAGAGATAGCTACACTCTTATGTTTATGGCAGCTTTATTAACAATAGCCAAGATATGAAAATAACCAAAATGTCCATTGACAGATGAATGGGTAAAGAAAAACAAAAATGTGAAATATACATGCAATGGAATAAAATTCAGCCTGAAAAAACGAAATCCTAACATTTGCAACAACTTACCTGAGTCTGGATGACATCATATTAAGTGAAATGTCAGTGACAGAAAGACAAATGCTGAATGACTTCCCTTATATGAGATATCTAAAATGGCCAAGGTATAGAAAGGCAAAATAGAACGGTGACTGCCAGGAGGTAGGAGGAGGACACAATGGTTATTGTTGTTCAGTGGGTATAAAGTTATAGTTATACAAAATAAGTAAGTTCTAGATAATGTGGTATACAGCATAATACCTATAATTCAAAGTACAGTTTGTGCACTTAAAAATTTGTTAAGAGGATGGAGCTCATGTTAAGTGTTCTTACAAAAACAAAAAAAAAAGGACATGGGAAAACCTTTGGGAGTGATGGATATGTTTACTACCTTAACTGAGGTTATGGTATCATGGGTGTACACTTATATCCAAACTCATCAAATTTTATATATTAAATAGGTGTAGTTTTTAAGATATATCAATTATGCATTCATAAATCTGTAAAAACTTTACGGTGTAATTTTTTCTCTGCTCTTTAATTCTGAAGAATATATTACTATATGTAAAGGAATTCACAGAGAAGAATGAAAGGTTATATTTCTCATATGATAATTCCAGCTTAAATAAATAATATGCCAATACTGACTCTCCCATTCAGCAGTTCTAAAAGTTTTTATAAATTATTTGGCTGCTTTGTGTTTCTTCATATGAAAACAAAAATAATATAGTTGTAAAGATTATAAAGAAAACATGTAACACTTTTACAGCTATGCTTGGCACATACACAGCATTATAGATGTGTTGGTTATTATAGTACAAATAATTTGATGATAATAATTTCATTGTGGCTTAGTTTGCATTTTCCTGATAAACAATGAGATTGAGCCTCTCTTCATATGTTTATTAGTCATTTGTTTATCTTGTTTATTTGAAATGCCTATTTGTTTCTAGTTCATTTTGTGATTACGTTTATCACTTTTATACACTGAAATTTTTAATACATTTGATGTGTGAATCCATTGATCAGTATATTTCAGCTATATTCTTTATGTCTGTGGTCTGCCTTTTCAATTTTTTAAAGTTTTTGATTAATAGAAGTTCATAATTATACTGTTTTCCAACTTTCAAATTTTATGATTAGTTGTTTTTGCTTTTGTTTTCTTTTATTCGTTTTAGAAAATCTTTGCATGCCCTCAGTTCATGATTACATTAATTGGCTTGTCTGTCTTTGAGCCAGTACCATACTGTCTTAATTCTTGTGGGCCTAAAAGTCTTGGTATCAAGTAGGGTACTTCTCAGATTTCATTCTTTAGATGCTTTAGATCCTGTTGGCCTCTTACTTACTTGTCCATATAAAATTAGAAATAGTTTGTCGGTACACACACACACACACACACACACACACACACACTCTCTCTCTCTCTCTCTCTCTCTCCCTCTCTCTCTCTCTTTTCTAATATTTTGTTTGGGATTTCTTTGAATGTGTAAACTAATTTGCAGAAAATTGACGTTTTTACACTGTTGAGTCTTCCAAATCACAAACATCAAATGCAATTTATACCTCTATTTATTTAGGCCTGTTATGATTTTGCTCAGCTAAATTTAATATTGTTTTATCTTGCATAACTCTTTCTAGATTTATTCTAGATGCTTGATTGTTTATAGTAATATTATTTTAAATGACGTATCTATTTGTTGGATGCTTTTATATAAAAATTGATATTTGACATGAGTGTGTCTGATAACCTTGCTAAAAGTTCGTATAAATTTCTATAATTTAGAGTTTTTCTTGGATTATTCATAGAGACCATAATGTTGTATATGGATCAAGACAGACTTAGTTCTTTCTTTCCAACTTCCTTTAATTTTTTCTTTTTACTTTATTACTAAGAGCTCTGGGCCAGTTATAAACAGAAGTGGTAATTGGTGGTCTCAGGGAAAGCATTCAGTCAGATCTATTGTTAAAGACTGTAGCACATGTAGTGATGCCCCTTTTCCACCTCTGATATTAGTGTAACTTTCTGTTTAATTTTGGTGGAAATTTTTTACAATAATACATTTTCAAATAACAGGCATAAGAGTTTAGAAGGATTTTGTATAAGTTTAAATTTGATTTCAATATTTCAATATCTTATCTGTCTCATTTAGGCTCTTATTTTTATGGCTTTCTATTTTTAACACCTTGAGCTGGATAATTAAACTGTGTCAGCTGTTCAACTTTTCAATTATAAGAACTACAATTACATATTTTCCTCTACATAAGCTTTAACTGCATAGCATAATTTACAAGATGTTGTATTTTTATCATCTTTAAATAAGAACACTTACTAAATTTCAAACAGTTTGAGAATTTTCTAAGTTAATTGTTGATATTTATCTGAATCTCCCTATGACATGGTAACATCTTCTGAAGGTTTATTCTTGAGGTTTGCTGAGACTTGTTCCTCATATTTTAAAACAAATTTTATAGTTTTTTTAAGACTCTATTTAACAAGCTCATAAGCCTGTAGAACGTCTTTTTGAGTCTCATATTGTCTGGCAGTTAGTGATTTTTATATAATTTTGCTAGTCTCAAACCAGTCATGGTTTAGTGTAGAATTTTTTTCTTTCATCTTGTACATTCTGTCTTCCAATATAATCTTTCCTCAACATCTGCCACTGACTGTATAAGAAGAAATTACAATTTCTGGTTAGATAATTTTAAGATTAGTAGGATATAAATAAGGAGTTTATCTTATTCGTAACCATTTTCTTTTCACAACATATCCTTTTACTTAGAAATGCTGCAGTTTAGATCTAGACAAATTATTTGACAAACTGTAATTTATCTGTTTAAACGTAAAAGCATTTAAAAGTTTTAAATAAAAGTTAGATAGAATCTTATTACTTGATATGGAAAAACATAAGTGCAGCCACTGTATGTGAAGTGAAGAGAGAGGGTCCAATATTCTGGATGCTGAACCCTCACATTGACCATCCTGAGTTGCTTTTAGAAGCATCTTCCAATAATCTCATTGAAAATCTAAGAAGCGAGCTGAAAGCGCCCTCATACAGTTCATCTTCCTTTAGCAGAGGATGCAGCCCAGAGAAACTGTTTCCATCGTCTTCTACAGAGTTGGTTTGTGGACCACTTTCATCTAAAGTTTATTCTCCTAAATATGTTTATCAAATGTTCCACCATTGTCTAACTGTTTGCAGAAAAGAACATATCATTGAAAAAGCAAAATAAGTAAATAAATATTGTAATCTATTCTGCTAGAATGGCTTGCCGATCTGGATATAAAATTATTATCTCTCTTCTACCCCAAATTTCCTTTCCTGAAAAAGGTGGCATTAGAGAAAAAATGTACATTTTGGAATAAAAGGGTTAAGATATTTCTAGTAACACTTATCCACGATGGCAAGATAAATTAAAATTTTATAAATTATACCATATTTTTCCACTCTCTTTTTCTTTACCCAAATCTATTTTGTATTTCAAAGCAGTCATATGATGAGTAAAGACAAAGTCAGGCCAACTTCTAAGGCTGTACTACAATTAATCTAATATTAACTGAATACAGAATGCAAATCTTATGCTTCCTGAAAATAAGTAACATAATTTCATATATGGAAAATTACAATCAATATAGTGATGCTAAGTTATTAGCCAAAGCTTAATTAATTGAGTTTATTTGTAAATTATTGTAGTTCATAATGGATTTTTAAAGTTTTGAAAGTAGTTGAAATGAAACACTGTGCATAGTTGTCACTTTGAAGGTAATCTATTTATACTTCTTCCATTTATTTACCATTGTTGAATGTCAAAAAGAAATGTGATAGCACTTTGCTTAGCCAAATAATTTTTGCACTAAATTTATTTGTCAGTGAGTTCTACTAAATTATAAAATTAATTATGCTTGCATTGACTCTGTTTCCATGGAGGGGAATAGAAGTGAAAAAAGGTTGAAAGTGTTCAATAGACAAATCTGTTGGTATTTGGAAAATATTGAAGCCTTTTTTTCATGTAAAGAGGCAGAAAAGATAAAATAAAATGAAGTAAAAGTAAAGAAAAAAAGGAAAAGAATGAAGAGGATGAAAATAAAAGAGAAAGGAACAGATATTTTAAAAATTAAATATGATATCTAAAGGTATTTTTATTTGTAATAAAGCACAGTAGATAAATTAAATGTATGAATTGTGCTACTTTGATATACTAATTTATCTATGATTTATTGAATAATTACTATGTTCCTGGCACTCTGCAGGTTGATAAGAATGAAAACAGTGCCAACGAGGAGGGCACAGTCTTTTGAGACAGTGGCAAGTCAATTGGCAAACCTGATATTGTGTAGTGTGTGTTTTAATAAAGGTAAAAGAGAATACATAAGAGAGATATTCTTAGAGTTCTATACGTTAGAAGAAGTGTCTGGGTCATAAAGGCATCTGCAGGGCTCTGTTTCTTTCTGGAAGATCCTAGAAGAAAATCCATGTATTTCCTCAATTGTATTATTGCCAGAATTCAATTCCTTGCAACTGTTGAACTAAGGTCTCTATGTTTCTCTGGTTGTAAACTGTGGACCATTCCCAACTTTTAGAGGTTGCCACATTCTTTGGCTCCTAGCCTACTTCCTTTCCCCCAAGACCAGCAACGGTGAGTGCAGCCCTTCTCACAACAAACCTCTGACTCACTTTTCCAGCTTGCTCTTTTGCTTTTAAAGGCTCACATGGTGCAATTGGCCCCACAGAGGTAATATAAAATAATATTCCTAAATCAATGTCCTTTGCCTTCATTATATTTTCAATTTTTTTGGAATTTTACATTATATGTTTTCAGAGCTGGAGATTGGGAGATGGGCATCTTTGAGTATGAGGGCATTATTCTGCCTATCACAGATACTTAACAAAAAGTAGTGAGAGATGGGCAGACAAGGAAGCAGTGGATAGGTATCCATATGTTAAAGAATAAATTGATCTCAAGGAAAGAAAAAAATGAGTTTAGCAAGAACACTTTTAAAAAGTGGTTTGTAATTCAGAGAAAAAGAAATGACAATTTTGGAAAAGTGTCTTCCATTTACCAAGTGATGTCGACATCATGACAAGCTGAAGAGATTTTCAGCTGGAATGAAGTGGCTCCTCTGCCATGGTTGGGTATTTCAGTTTTATTTTAAATGTAGCAGAAAACCATGGAAGCATTTTAAGAGATAAAATGCCATTATATACTCATTGTATAAAAATCAGTGACAGCAGCATGGGAAGGAATGGCAGGGGAGGGTCAAAGCTGGAGAAATAAAAGTTAAGAGGATAATACTATAAATGAGAGGAGAAGGAGCCGGATCATGGGCAGTGACAGTAATGAACTTGCAGAGGGGAAGTATTCTAACAATATTCAGGAAATACAAGTGAGAGAACCTGACAGAAAATTGGATGTGGAGGAGAAAGTTAACAGGGAAGAAAAACAATTTCAAGAATTCTAGCTTTGAAAGCTGCAGATGAGAAATCAAAGTGTCAACTCATGTGCTTTTTAATGTGTGCCTGAAGAATTGTCATAATTAACCCTAAAAGGACTGATGTATTCTGTGATGAACTGGGCTTGGTTGTCCCTCAAGGAAACTTCCACTGGAACTGAGAGTTCACAGTCAGTAAAAAGATATGGCTCAGTCCTTATAAAATCGATACCATTGTTGTTCCCAATTAATATCATAACATCTATAAATCTAACTGACATATACCTTCACTGTGCTAAGAGTCTAAAATCTTGAAGTTTAAAAGGTACAGAGGAGGTACTATCAATAAATGAGAACATCTTTGGTATCCATAACCCCTCACATTGAAAGAAAGCTATAACTAGTGTAATAATGAAAACATTAATTGGAAATCATGACTTACAAAATACATATTTTTCTAACTCTATTATTCCTAACCATATCTTAACACAATAACTGCACTTTTTTCCATGAAAAATTCTCATGAAGGCCCATACAAAACAATCTAGATATTATTTTGTTTCTGTTACTAATGTCTACTAAAAGTAACTAGGGCTCCTTGAAGCACGTTTGATTATGTGCCATGGGACAAGAAAAATAAAGGCTTGGGTCTGGAACCTCTTATAACACTTCAAATTTTAGTATAGTTTTGAGGTTTTCATAGGTATTAAAGCCATCTTAAAGGGGCTCTTACTGGGCAAGTGATAATAATTAAGTAGACAATGGAATATTAAAATTAATAATATTTGGCTATTTGGCCAAATATTAATGGCCACTTGAATCAGCTTACGCTGATAAAAATCTACATGTTCAAGAGCATAAAGTGCAAGACAATTTATGTACTTATAAAGGAGAAAAAAGATAACAATGTTAGAATAATTGTACTTTTGAATTGTCTTCATACAAAGTGACATTCTATACGTATGCACTTGATTATGGAACATGTAAATACATGCATATATATGTGTGTACATATACACACATATACAAAGGAAACTGTAAAAACATGTAAGTACAAACGCTAAAATTGTCAGAAAAAAATATCATCAAAAGCTGAAGAAATGCCGCAAGGAAAAGATTTACAGTGAGTGCAACTGTTGACTTTCACTGGTGGTCATACCAAAAGATCAGTTAATAAAATGGTCAAAAAGTCAATATTCCAAAAACATAAATGTCAAGTGTGTCAAAGAATAGACTTGTGACTTGTGTCACATGTCTCCTTACTCTAGAATTGAGAAAATTTCAAAATCACTTTACAAGTTTTTTTAAAAAGCTGATGTTCCATAATAAATTTCCAATAATACTGAGAAACCATGTTAATATATCATTAAAACATGGCCTTATGCTAGTTCCTGGCCATGGAAAATGTAATTAATATATCATTTTAAGAAAAGATACCAAATTTCAAAATCTACCATTTATATCAAAGGCAGAGACATAAAAGCCATGATATAAAAACTAAAGCTTCATTGCATTAAGAAAAAACAAAAGCTGTCTCACATTGAATGCTATAACTTGCAACAATCTCATTGGACTAAACATCTCTATCTTAGCTTCTACTTAAAGATCTTCCCTCTAGAAAACAAAATTTTATTATTTTGGTATGGTATTATTTTATTGTGTCTTGAAAGACAACTAAGTGTAAATGTAAACATAACATATAGTAGAATAAATGAAACCCTAGGAATATGTCGAAATGGCAAATAAAAGAAGCTGTATATATAGGATACAATCAAGTTTATGTCGTAAGCACTTCATAAATTTGAGCTCGATCTCTGCCTCCTCAGTTCAATGAGACCCTGATCTGCTCAGAATCCGCTTCTCTGCACTGCCTGCATTTCAACATCCAAACTGTACTGGTTGGCTAAGTCTAGTCTTAGTTATTTTATCACATCCAATAGCAGGTGTTTTCTCCAAAACAATTTTGCCAAATTATCTAACAGTTCTAGTGCATAAGCTATACTCTCTAAAAGCAGGCCTTTCACTTCTCTGTCTGGATGACACTCTATTTTAGTTTTATTACAAAGATTGTAGCAAGTAGGTCTTAATCCATGTGTTAGGCATGGGAACATTTGCTGAGATTTCTGGTAGACTTCTGGTTCACATTAAGGAAAATGGTGATTAAATTATGGCTAAAGCCATATAAAAGAGAATGGCAGTTAATAAAAGAATGGTCATTTTGAGGCATCCTCAAAATGCCTCATCCATGTGTGAGGCAAGGGCACAGATAATATTATTCATTTTTAAAAAAATACATTGGAAAGCTCCTTTTTTGTTTATCTATGCACCCTCGGTGTACTGGGAGATAATTCGCCATGTGTACCCTCCCTTTCTACACATCTGGTGAGCAGAGACACTGATTGCTTTTATTTCAGACTACTTTGCTGTTTGTATAGCAAACAATCTTGGAAGATAGAGATAGTGTTTCTCTCCAGAGCAAGTAACAGGCATGATTCTCTGATTCCCATCCTGTAAAAGATTTGCATTTCCTAAAAAAAGAGTTTCTCCTTTGTAATTCAAGCCATTGTGTGTAATTCTCTCTTTGCATCACACTGTAGAAATTTGAGCTTATGGAACAGAAGGCAAGAAGAACCTGCTCTTCTGACTACCGCTATCAGAGTGACCAACTAATTTACTTGCTTTCATCCAAGAGGGTCATGTCTTCTGACAGAATTCATGAAACTTTGAGGCTAATATTTCAGCTTGAAAATAGGGTAACATCTCAAACTATTCACAGTTCTTGACAGTTTTGTCTATGAGATGGGGACACTGGCAGAAATATAGCTTTCTAAGAAAGGAAGAATGAGACCTTGTAGGCCAATTAAGAGAGTTTGAGAAAAGTCCCTGTGAATCTGTATTGTGAAGATTGAATAAATCCTGTGGTTATTCACATAATAAATGGTCCTTCACTTTGATGCCTGTTAATGAGGGGGAATTAAAAAGAATAATGAAGGGCTGAGTACTGGAAAGTAGATTCAAAGGCAGCTCCTTGAATGGTACCCTGGTTGTTGCTAACCTTCCTCTAAGTAACAGGGCTTTGCCACAAATGTAACAGTCAGCCCTATGGCTGCCTGGGTGGGCAGAAGTTTCTGATCCATTTTTAGACAACAATTACAGAGAATACACCTACACTAAGAATGAAAAGATGAAATTTGCAACCATTATGTGTAAACCCAAGTGACTCAACAACTCCAAGGTCCAACAGGCATGGGGAAAAGAATGATACATACAGATACAGAAATAGAGAGATACAAAGATATCATATTTATGCTATTCAAATATATTTTCAAAGTCTTCCTTTAAAGTCTTTCTCACAAAGAAAAAAGCTATAGTGCAGCTCCTCAAACTGTGGCAAGCTCCCAAATTTTAACCGTCCACTCTTTTATTAACTGCCATTCTCTTTTATATGGCTTTAGCTATAATTTAATCACCATTTCCCTTAATGTGAACAGAAGTCTACCAGAAATCTCAGCAAATTTTCCCAGGTTCTTCTCTCAGACAAATCAACCATCTACAGCTCCATATGTAGGTCCAATTCTCTTTCATTTTCCATGGCTCATGGCTCCTGAATGGCATAGATCTTACTTGGGGAGCCCCATCAATTATGAAGAAAATGTTTTATTCAGGGAGGTCATATTGGCTATACTAGCATAATTGTACCCCTGACTGATCTAAGTTTCATTTGAGACCCTGACAGTTGTAACATTTTAGTTGGAAAATCCAAAATTGTAGGAGTCATCAATGTCTCCTCTTTTACCTCACCAAAAAAATCCAAGTTCTAGTAATTTAACCCTATTTATAACCTTAGTTCAGCCCCTCATTTTACCAAAACTGATTTAGTGTAGTAGTCACCATAGAATTGACCTTCATGCTTCCAGGCTTGTTGCCTGAAGTCTATCCTCCATCATATTAGTCTTTTCTCACAATGTTATAAAGAACTGCCCAAGAATGAGTAATCTAGAAAGAAAGGAGGTCTAATTAACTTATAGTTCCACATGGCTGGGGAGGCCTCACGAAACTTACAAACTTACAATCATGGTGCAAGGGCAAGCAGCCATGTCTTAGATTGTGGCAGATGAAAGAGACAGTGTGTAAAGGAGAAACTGTCAAACACTAATAATACTATCAGATTTCATGAGAACTCACTCACTATCACAAGAATAGCATGGGAGAAACTGCCCCCATGGTCCAATCACCTCCCACCAGGTCCCTCTCTTGACATGTGGGGTTATGGGGATTACAATTTGAGATGAGATTTGAGTGGGGACAGAGAGCCAAACCATATCATCCATTCTCTAAAAACAAAGCAAAATAAAACAAAAATTCCAAAATAAAATGAAGCAGAAAAACAGATTTTCCTAACATAAAAATTATTTCTAAGCCTGATGTTTATTAAGATCCCCAAACATAATTGGGTATAAAGATCAAAATCCCTAGTGTGGTCAACAGCATCTTCCATGACCTGGCCTTGATCTTCTTATCCAAGATTCCACTTGTTACTCCCAATAGCTTCTTTATAAATTCAAGCACAGATATATCATACACTTTGCACTCACTCTTGTGGTTCCCTTGCTTTCTGTCTAGTTGTTCTCTCTGCCTAAAATTTTGTTTATTGAATAACCATAATCTATCTTGCTTTATGGTGTTTTATGTTCTCTATGTCTCATTTGGGGTATCACTTCTGATTGAACTCCTTCCTAGGATTTTGATTGGTTGCCCACTGATGAGTTTCCATGATACACTATAAGTGCTTTTAACGTGGTTGCTATCACTCTATATGGAATTATTCTATTTATTCGTTACACCTCTTAATACATGAAAAGATCCATGCAGTCTGAATTTACCTTTGAAAAGCACCAACCAACAAATTTCAAACTCAATGTAAATACTCAAAAAATGCCTAATGAATTAATCAATACATTACTGTATCTCACATTACTATTTCAATTATGTAGAATTATATGTTCAATTAAACATAAATTAAAAATAAATATAGTAAATATATTTAGTAAATAAATATAGTAAATATATTAAAAATAAATATAGTAAAGAAATTGTCAGTTTTTGGTGAAGATCATTGAGTTTTTTATTTTATTTTATACTGCTCTTTCTTCAACATTATTTATGCAAAAATTACCTGTAAAAGCATGACGCTAACCTTTTATGAGCATACGAATAATGAATACTTCTTTTACACACAGTTAGCAATTACATTTTTAGATTAGTTGGCTGTCACGTTGAAAAGAGCACAGATCTCAGATGATGGGATGCTAAGCAGATAAGAAGAAAGGTTAGGCAGATCTTCACAAAACATTACAGATCCAGTGGGTTGTACTGGAAACATAACAGGAAACAAAGAGTGAAAGAGAAAAGAAAAAAAAATAGGATATTTAAAAATGGGTGATGGGAAACATTGTTTACTCTTCTATATCGCCTAATTTTGCTCTATGCTGTGGTGCTTTGGAGAAGACAATTGAAAAGTAATGGGGTGTGGAAGAGCTGAAGCACCCACTAACTAAGGGAGAAAGTCGTAGCCTAATGAAGTAAATGGGTTGGCAAAGAGCTTGTTAGAAGAGGGTGAAAATGGAACAATTTTAAAAGCATTTTTAATTAGAAACTAAAGTTATAACATGTATGGATAAAGAGAAAATCCTGAAAATAAATTTAAAAATGTAAATCCATACACATTTGCTCTTAATGACTTAATTTTAAGTAATGAATTCACATGCCATTAAAATAGAGCAGAGTAGTAGTTTTAATGGATGATCCTAGGAAAAAAATAAAAGTGAGTATATCTCTCTGCAAGCAAATGTTAAAATTTCCCCTGAAAATGACAAAGAGAATAGAAAATATTCCCATAAGACCATTTTACATGTTTCTGATTCATTCCTTTGTTATGCTCTATTTTTACATTAACCCAATATGTTTTATCTTTCCTTTATACTCTCTGTTACAATAAGATTAATGTTAAGGCTTTAGTTTATGCTGCAGTAGATTTTATACAAGTAACAATGAACACAACATATTTGAAGGATTTTCCAAACATTGTTTTCCATAATAATTTTCATCTAAGAACTATAATGTTAAAATTATGCCAAGAAATATAATCACTTCTAAAAACATTGTAAACTCACTCTTATTCTTTATTCACTGCTTTAGGCTGTTACTACGAATGTTTATAGATTATAAAATTTACCTTTTTAATTTTAAATTATAAGATTGTGACATTAATAATCTCCCTTTTTCAGGCATATCCTGATCATCATCTACTAGAACAGCAAGAGAAGGTTTGTCTAATTTTACTGTACTGCTTTTATTTTTAATCGTTGTATAATGTCAACCATTCTGAAATAGCTAATCTCCCTTCTACATTTAAATATATTTTTTCTCTCTTATTTACTGATGACAGAATATGCATCTATGTCCTTCTCTCAATATTATCTAGATTTTTCACTCTATCTCCCTCAAAATCTTCCACTTGGGCATTTTGTTATGAGGAACAGATTTAACTCAAGGACATTGACTAATACATGAGAGATGTGGATTTATTTAGTTGATATCCACTGACACCCCACACCCAAGCTAAAACAACAAAAACAAGAATCAATAGATAGGGAGCACACAACAATGTGAGTTTATTGTATAATATAGATAAATTAATAATTGTCATTTATTGATGTCATTTATTGATTCATTCAACCAATATTTATCCAAAGTTTAGAATGGCTTTAAGTAGAATGGCATTAAATAGAATAAATAGAATGGCATTATTCAATTTATTAGTTATACTTCCAAATACATGATAAGTTCCATGAAATCTGAAGTTACCTTTGCAAAGCATCAGCCAATACATTTCAAACTCAATGTAAATACTCAAAAAATGCTTACTGAATTAACTATCAAATTATTGGACCTCACATTACTATTCAAATTATATATATTTGTATGTTTATATGGTCAATTATAAATAAATTAAAATAAAAATAGTAAAAAAAAGTTCATTGTATTTTTGTGTGACATCCTCATGGGGCCATCACAGTTGCTAGCTGCAGACCTAGCAATTTTAATGTGCCTATGAGGATGCCAGTCAAAATTACAATAAACAGTAGGATAGAGGAGGTGGGTAATACAAGGACTGTCCGTAGAAGGGCCAGTATGCCTAGTTGTTGGATCAGAAAAAATTGAAAAGTTAAGTCCTAGATTATGAGCAGTTGATGGATAGGTCAAACAGGGCAAGAATAAAGAGAAATATTTTAACCAGAGAGAACATGATTGAAAGTGTAAAAATCAGAAAAAAGAAGTAACCCAGACCATATTTGTATGGTTGACTTAGAAACAGTATGAGAGTGGTGAGTCTAGGTAGGCTAGTATTACATAATAGCAATTTATAGGACTCATTAAACATTAAAGCTTCATCCTAACTTTCACAAGAGGCCAGTCAAGGAGGGGTGACAATTTATGTTCTGAAAAAATTCACCCAGGATGCTCTCAGGTAAATGATTGAAGACTGTCACTTATCAGAATGAGACATAACAGTTCCCTGCAATATACCTGTGGGAATAAGAATGGTAGGAAGAAGTGGAGGATCTGAGAATCTTTAAATGGTGGAGTCAATTGACTCTAGTGATTTATTGTTTCAGAATGAGAGATGAATAGCTATGCCTTGATTTTGACATTAGCAATTAGATTTATGGTGTTGCCAATTACCGTGAAAGGAAACTTAAGTGAGGAGTTAAATTTTCTAAGTAAGGCACTGCATTCAATTTAAACAAGAAGGTAGTTTATTGGTATTTAAATTTTTCAAACTGTATTAACTTTTTTGCAAATAAATGCCTGTCTAAAACATGTGATGTAACTTTCTCTGATGTCTTCATGACACTTCAGCATTAGAAGAGAAAAGCTCTATAAGCCACCATGTAAATGGTAAGAGTTTCTGGTTAATAAGACTTAAGGGAGATAGATTGGCCTACTTGGCAAATGATACACAAATAATTTTAATTCACCACATGGTGTGGCCTATAAAAAAAAGTCAAAAAATAAGTCCAAAATCTCCAAGAGTAAATATTTAAGTAAGATATAATTTCCAGGGTCAAGAACTAAAAGGCCTATCTCTGCTAACCCTAAATACATATATAGTAGTACATGGACACAACTTTAATCTTTAGGTCTTTGGAAAAAATATAGAGAAAATTAAAATCAGTAAATGAATTGCCTTTGCCCCATCCCAAAAATTGAATAAAATTCTTGATGCAGGATTTTTCTCAGCCATTTTGCCAGCCAGAGACCTCCCCAGCTGTTGACATCCCTGCCCAGGCCTTGCTTGGCCCTGGCTTCACCACAGGAGGTGCACTTCCCACTCAGCCCGTCAGGCTATGCCTGACTTGTGCTCTGCACGGACAACATGACCACTGTGATGGTGCACTCAGCTGCCAGTTGAGGGTGTGTCTGGGTGAGTGAGTGCCAGGTCCGGCTAGCCACTCCAAGTGCTGGCACAGGTTCATGCTCCGTGCAGGGCTTGTGGCTGAACCAGGTGTGTCGCAAGTGACTCCTTCAGGAGACTCCAACATCCAAATGAGGGTAAGATGATGGCACCCAAACAGGGAAGCTTGTGTCCTCAAAGCCCTAGAGGAGGTGTTACAGCATGCTAACAGCTCTTTTAGTGCAACCACAGCCTGCAGAATGGGGACTTGTTAACAGCTCTTTCAGTCCTTTTCAGTCCTGTTGCCGCACTGTGCCCCACAGCTCCAGAGCTGGCCCAACCCCATCGCTGCTTCCTATTGCATGGGTGGCCACCAGGTGCCAACAGGGGTCAGATGGCTAAATAAAGTGTTACTGCCTTTTTTGTACCTGCATTTGGCAGCATCCCGAGTTCTTGTCCCACATCCAAGAAGAATGAGCTTATGCTGACAACTGAAGGTTGAGAGGTGCAGAAAAGAATTTTATTAAGCAATGGAACAGCTCTCAGGAGAGAGATGTGAGGGTGGTCCCCTATCTTAAGTTGGGTGGTCACTCTCTCAGCATGGCTGGGTCTGGGACTCTTATGGCCTCAGAATGGGGGAGTGCATGCTGATTGCTTTGTGAGTATGCAAACAAAAAAAAAAGCTAAATCAAAGGCACCACTCAAAGGTGGGCATGGCAGTGTAAAAAAAAAACAACAACTAGGGAAGGGTAGGTATATGTAAAATAGGTGAAGTGTGGGGACCAATCAGAGGAAAGCATGTCAAACAGGAAGAAGGGTTCTCAATCCTGCTTATGGATTTTTTTTGAGACTTATAGCTTGGCTTTTAAACTGTCTTTGACTCGTAAGTGGGGTTTTACTGGGGACCCTCCGCTATTTGCCTAGGAATGTGGCTGCCTCCTGCGGCTATCATTCTAACAGTGTTACATGTTCTGTTGAAAGAATGTTAACAGGTTGTACAATAGAATTCTTTTCATTGGGAACAATTCACTCATATTATTGATGTTTGTTCTGTATATTATACATGCTTCTGAACCACAAACATGTTTGATTACTCAGTATGATTTTAAGAAGAAGTAACTACAGTGTCCTTTATTATAAGCAGAAAGTACTGGAAAATCTCCTATATACTTCACTATAGATAAATGCCATTATCTCAAGTGTACGAAATTAGAAATTAACTTGTGACAAGTATAAACATATTTCCAAAGAGTTCTACTGCAAAATACATTGGCAATATTTAAGTTTACCTTGAATCTTCAAGGAGATTAAATATTTTATATTTAGATTCTAAATATTTTATATTTAGATTCTATTTAGTGAAAAGCTCATAAATTTTGTATATAAATCAGCATATATACAAATGTTAGTGTTTAGTGAAGCACACCTGTTGCTTAATCCTCATAACATTTAAAAATATCTTACAAGTTTATGCCAAGACTTCCTTTAAAATACCTATTGCTTATTAAACTATGGGGTCATTTATTTTAAGAACCAAAGTATGACACGTATTTTAAATTTAGACTGACAAACTTCTAGCAGACTGTATTTCGTAAGACCAACCTCTCTCTCTCTCTCTCTAGATCTCTAGTCTACCCATCAGTGGTAAACTGAATAAAGAAAATATGGTACACATATACATGGAATACTATGCAGCTATGAAATACATGAGATCATGTCCTTTGCAGGGTTATGGATGTAGCTGGAGGCCATTATTAGCAAATTTTGTTCATAAGTGAGAAAAAAATGCAGTATTTTAGGAGCTAAATGATGAGAACACATGGTCACACTAAGCGGAACAACACACACTGGGGCCTTTTGGAGGATGAAGGGTAGGGGGAGGGAGAGGATCAGGAAAAATAATTAATGAGTACTAGGCTTAATACCTAGTGATGAAATAATCTGTACAACAAACCCCCATGACACACGTTCACTTACAATATTAATCCCCTGCCGAATAAATAGTTTGTAAATATTTTCTCCCATTCAAAATAGTGCCTCATCACTCTGTTGATTATTTCATTTGCTTTGCAGAAGCATTTGATTTTAATATAGTACTATTTGTCTATTTTTGTGGCCTGTGATTTTGAGGCCTTAGTCATAAAACCTTTGCCTAGACTAGTGTCTGAATAATTTTCCTTATGTTTTCTTCTAATATTTTAGCAGTTTTCAGCCTATATTCATCTTGAATTGATTTTTCTATATGGTGAGAGATAGAGGTCCAGTTTCATTCTTCTTCTGGTTATCCAGTTTTCCCAGAACCATTTATTGAAGAAGGTATCCTTTCCCCAGTGTTTATTCTTGACAGCTTTGCCAAAGATCAGTTGGCTGTAAATATATGGGTTTATTTCTAAATTCTCTATTTTGTTCCATTGGTGTATGTGTCTGTTTTTATACCAATACTGTTTTATTCCCTATGGCTTTGTAATATACTTTGAAGTCAGGCAGTGCAGTGCTTCCAGCTTTGCTGTTTTTGCTCAGTATTTCTTTGGTTAGCCAGGCTCTTTTTTGGTTACATGCAAATTTTAGAATTTTTTTCTATTTCTGTAAAAAAAATTGGTGTTTTGACAGGGATGGCATTGAATCTGTAGATTGCTTTTTGCAGTATGTCCATTTTAATGATATTAAACTGAAGAGGAAGCAAACAAATAGAAAGGCATACCATGCTCCTGGATCAAAAGAATTAATTATTCTTAGACATGCAGCTATCTTACGCTAAGGACACAATAAACTTAACTGCCATTACAACAAACCGCAAATCTACGATACCAGGGTCTTGAAGACCAAAATAGTGCTATTCCTTATTATACTCAAAGCATTGTGAGAGGGAAAACGTGTTGCATTCTTTCTCTCTCACAGTGACTATGGGAAGTCAGTGGGAGTTGTTTCACTTGGATAATTCAAGAAATAAAAGTTTCAGTGGCTATGTACTTAGAAATGGGATTCTCTGATAACACCTGGTATTTTACATAGTTAACACCATTTTTTTCTTAGAGAATGAATATTAAAAGTGGAAGAAGGGGTGACTTTTTACTGTTTGTCTTATATTCGTTTGCAGTATGGATTTGATGCCATAAGCTTGTGTTATTTTTTATATTTATTAATATTGGTATAATAATTTCTCATTCCCAGTATTTTCAACAATTCTGAATATCTTATATAACATGTTTTTATATTGGATGGCAAGGTTCTTCAATAACTATGTGCGCTTTTGTTTATCAATCATTAGCACTTAATTTAAGTACTTGTGTATACAAAAATAAAAGAAAAATAAAATTGAAAAAAGAAGGAGGGGAGATAGAAAGGAAAGGAGGGCTTCTAACCAAATGGTTTTGGAAAGAATAAATCAGTCAGTCCCAAAGTAGTTTCATATAAATATGTACTTTTCAAACACCATGCTTAAAGCACAACGATTGAGATTACATTAATAAAATGTTGATTTAAAAGTCCTAACAGTTATTTGCATGAAGAAGAGTATTCAAGATGACATACAGTATTTTATGAATTTTCTTGTTGTTTTGTTAATATCTGCAATCCTCAAAACATATGATTTCTGATTCACTGGTTATATTTCTTAATTTACCACACCAGCATTACATATTACACAGTGCACAGAGATTAGCAGTGTATTCATTTTTAATAAAATGTTTTATCGAATGAGAAAAATAGTTATTTTAGCATATTTTAGAAAGTTTAGGGCAACATGTATTCATCTACCTCTTAATCATAAGCTGCTACAATTTTGGGGAAAAACGTATTTTGGGGAAAAATAAATTACTTGTTATTACCATCTTAATGTAGTTGATAATATTTTATCCATATATCATACATCTTCTACATTAAAATTATATTATGCCAACATAAACTATACAAATAATATCATATACAACTTAAGTGTAATATATATGATATTGTTATAAAATTCTTAAAATCGAGTGTGTTCATTTTTTAATGCAGCCATAAAAAATGGCCACAAATATAGTGTCTTAGCGCAACACAAATTTATTACCTTAGAATTCTGTGGATCAGAAGCCCCACGTAGATTTAAGGTGTCAGTAGGGTGCATTTCGTTCTGAAGATTCTTGGAAAGGAGAATTTGGTCCCTGCCTCTTCCAGCTTCTGGAGTCCACATATTTTCCTTTGCTTGTGGCCCCTTTCTCCATTTCAAAAATCTGTTGCTTTGGGCCATATCCTTCTCATACTGCCATATCTCTGGTCCTCTCTTCCACCTTTATGTTCTCTTGTGATTACATTGGACTGAATATAATCATGCTAAGGTCAGCTGATTAGCAACTTTAATTTCATCTATATATCCTTATTTCCTCTTTGCCATTTAATGTAACATATTAGTAGGTTTCAAGCATTAGAATATGGAACTTTTTGAGGGGCCATTATTCTGCAAATGACACCAAGACACATGGGTCTGCAAATGACACATTATTCTGCAAATGACACCAAGACACCAAGACACATTTCCCAAATACTTATCTCAGAATTTTTGAGACCTGGGAATTTTGGGTGTTTAAAGCACAGAAACGCTTTTATCTCACATGTTGAGATACCGTAAGAAACTTAGGCTGTGGTACTTTTTTCTGAATTATCAGTTACCACCTTTCCATCTGCCTTCTATCTTCCAGAAATGTATTGTTATCTCCCTGCTACTAATTGTCCTAGTTTTATAAATGTGCTTGGTTTAAATTGCCTATGTTCTTTTGAAATCAATTTAATGTGGTCTCTTAGAAAGGAGGAGATTAATATATGTAGTGAGGCAGCTATCGTAATTCCAAACATTGCAATGTTTAATATATTTTATGTGATTTATTCTTTTTCTTATTTATTTATAAACATCTATTATTTTTTAATTGACTAAATTATATATATCATATACAACATGTTTTGTAGTATGTTTACATTACAAAATTGCTACATATAGCCAATTAACATATACATTACCTCATATACTTTTTGGTAGCAAGAACACTTAAAATCTCTTTTCTTAGCAATTTTCAAGAACTCAAGGCATTGTTATTAACTATAGACCCATGTTGTACAAAACATCTCTTGAACTTATTCCTTCTAGCTAACTGAAATTTTGTATCCTTTGATTAACATCACACCAACACCTATCCGCGCCCCCATCCGCAGCCCCTGGGCACCATCATTCTATTGTCTAATTCTATGAGTTCAACTTTTTTAGATTCCAAATATAAATGATACCATGTGGTCTTTGTCTTTCTGTGCCTGGTTTATTTAACTTAACATAATGTCTTTCAGGTTCACTATGTGTCACAAATGACGTTTCCTCTTTTTTAAAAAGGTTGAATCATATTCCATTGATAAAATATACCATATTTTATTTATTCATTTATTAATGAACAATTATGTTGATTCTATATCATAGCTAGTGTGAATAATGTTGCAACTAACATGGGAGTGCAAATATCTTTTGATATACTGATAGCGTTTTTTTTGGATATATACCCAGTAGTGGGGTGGAATGATATGATAGTCCTATTTTAAAATTTAAAAAAAAAAACTTCCATTCTGCTTTCCATTATGTCTATAATAATTTGCATTCCCACCAACAGTATACAAAGGGTCCCTTTTCCCCCTTATCTTTGCCAATGTTCGTTATTTCTTGATATTTTGATCCTAAAGATTATGAGGTGATATCACATCTTTGTTTTGAATGCATTTCCCTGATGATTAATGATATCGAGCAACTTTTTATATACTTGTTGGCCATTTTTGTATCTTCTCTGGAGAAATGTCTCTTTAGGGTCTTTGCCCATTTGTTAATTAGTTATTTGTCTTTCTGAGTTGTACAAATTCTTTATAAATTTTAGGTATTAACCCTTTTTCAGATATGTGGTTTACAAATATTTTCCAAATCCCTAGCTTCCATTTTATTTTGTTGTTTCTTTTGCTTTGAAGTAACTTTTTTAGTTTGGTGTTTTATTTTTTATAGCATTGCTTATTGGTATGGTTTGGCTGTATCCCCACCCAAATCCCAAATTCCATCTTGAATTGCAGTTCCCATAATCCCCACATATTATGGCAGGGACCTGGTGGGAGGTAATTGAATCATGGGGGTGGTTACCCCCATGCTGTTGGTTTTTTTTCCAACACTATCATTTCTTTCTTTTTTTTTTATTTTATTATACTTTAGGTTCTAGGGTACATGTGCACAATGTGCAGGTTTGTTACGTATGTATACATGTGCCATGTTGGTTTGGTGCACCCATTAACTTGTCATTTACATTAGGTATATCTCCTAATGCTATCCCTCCCCCCTCTCCCCACCCCACGACAGGCCCTGGTGTGTGATGTTCCCCTTCCTGTGTCCAGGTGTTCTCATTCAATTCCCACCTATGAGTGAGAACATGCCCCATGCTGTTTTTACGATAGTGGGTGAGTTCTCATGAGATCTGTTCGTTTTATGAGGGGCTTTTCCCCCTTTGCTCAGCACATCTTTCTCCTGCTGCCACGTGAAGGAGGACGTGTTTGCTTCCCCTTCCACCATTATTGTAAATTTCCTGAGGTCTCCCTAGCCCTGAAGAACTTTGAGTCAATTAAAACTCTTTCTGTTATAAATTACAGTCTCGGGTATTCCTTCATAGCAGCGTGAGAACGGACTAATACGTTTATGTAGCCTGAGCTTTTGGTATGCTATCAAAATAAAAAGAAAATCATTGCCAAGGCTGCTGACAAGGAATTTTTCTCTGTGTTCTCATATAAACGTTTTATGATTTCGGGTTTTACATTTAGATCTTTTGTCCATTTTAGCTTTTTTTGTGTTTGTATAATAAATGGGTCCAATTTTACTTGTTTCCAGGTGGAAATCCAGTTTTCCCAGAACCATGTATTGAAGAGACTATTTTTTACCTACTGTAACCTCTTATTGCTCTTTTCAAAAGTTACTTGACCATATAAGTTTGGATTCATTTCTGTGGTCTCTATTACATTCTACTGGTCTATGTGTTTGTAAGGGAAATAGATTATTTGAAATCAAATTTGAGCAACCATTAAATGTGTTTTCTTCTTCTTTGTGTTTCTTTTAGTATTTAAGCTTTTCATTTCTAAGTAATTACACATGCATAAGAAGTTGCAGAAAAACAATACAGAGGCCCCGTGTCCCCTTCATTCACTGAAGAGGGTGAAAGTCCCACCTTTCCACTAACCTCCCTGCACCACCACCACAGACGGCAGCGGAATTTTCTCATTAACTCCAGGTGGTGGTAGAAGTCCAAGAACCAAGTGCCTCTGAAGACACTACAAGGTTGGGGGTGGGGTAGGAGATGTTATTTTTTGGTGTTGGTGAAATTTCTAGTTTTCCAATAACCCCCTTCTCACACTATCTGAGGAAGGAATGAGACAGGCACCTCTTATAGTCAGGCAAAGATGGAAGTATTCACTTTCCACTCAGCCTTTGCTGATGTGTGTATAGATGGAGACACAGGTTTTTCTCATGGCTAGGGTAGGAGTAGAGCAGTATCATTATTGAAAAATTTCACCTCTTGCTAGGATCTTCCTTTTCTGGCTCTTTATCTAGTGAGGATAAGCTTTTCTTTTTTCTTGGTGTGACCCTTTGCTGTTTCTAGGTTGTAAGTTTCCCCGGTATCCAGTCCAGTTAAAATGAACTAAAAAGAAACCCCACTGGAACTCACTTCATGTAATTCTTCTGGTGCAAGGTCTATAGCTGGTCTGCCTTCTCCTCTCCAAGTTTTTATGTTGTGTTTTACAATTTTAGCTGTACATAGCATGAAGAATACTGAGAAGCATGTCTATTACATCTTTCCTAAAACTTGAAATCTGTTCCCCTTTTTAAAGCATGTTTAGTATGCAAAAATTAACTTTAAAAATGTTAACTAAGTTCAAGTGAATATTTACTTTAAAATAAAATTATTCACTTTGCATAGTAATTCACTTTGGAATTTCAATAATGTCTCTCAAGTATAATACATGGTACAATTCCTTTGAATGTAAAAAGTTACAGGACTTTTCAGGTAGACAACGTTCTATAAAAGGATACATATTTGTATTGAAAATTTTAAGACTGGCACTGGGAAGATGATTTTAGATACTGTCTTTATTTATTTTTCTTTGAATTTGTATTAATAGTAGAAATTCACAAGTGCCTCACATTCATCACAGTGTTCTTTGTGCTTTGATCTATAGTTGTAAACCTTCCCAGGCACTGAAGGCAATGTTGTTTACTCAACATAAAAAAGTAAGGGTCACAGCTTTGCTTGCATTTTCAGCCTGAATATGCTGAGAATATTCTTATAAGATTCTTGGATCATTATTACATCCCTTATGCACATAGCTGTTACACTAAATTTAATTTGAACTTTGGTTTCAATTATGCAAAAATCCCTGAGTCTGTAGTTAAGCCAGCATAGTCTGAGTGAGTGTAGAGATAAAACCCATTATTGGAAAAAATACATTCTTACTATTAAAAGGTCACAATGTTCCCAGACTCCAGAAAAGGGTGAGAACAATACTTGTCTTTCCCCATGAAATGCTATTTGTCCAGCTTTGATGGTTATGCCAGGCCAGAGCCCCCTCTTCCATTTTCTTCTTCTGTCTTCTTTGCTTTAGTATTTTATCTTCTCTGCCCTGACCCAGACTCCTAACTTCAATAATTTGAGGGCCTTGTAATCTTCATCACCATTTTGACTTCAGGTTGGAAGACTGACAGCAGTTATTATTCTGATTCATTTTGGAGGACTTCACCATTTTGGTTTCATCTTGGAGCACTGACAGCAGTTTTCCACTAAGCCCCACTCTGTGCCATTTCAACTTCGAGGTTCTTTAAGGTAGAGCTTTTAAAAATAAATAAATGTTTATCATGTATACAATCTAATGTCCTTGCTATATATAAAATATATATATATAATATTTTAAATGTTGAGCACACTGATAGCAAAATTGACGAATCATGCTCTCGGAGTCTTTGTCTTTACACCTCTCAAAGTCAAGCAGAAACAGAAAAAAAGATGAGGTGGAATAAAAATCTTGCTTTGCCATATGAGGTTTAAAATATTTAACTTAATCTTAAATTTACTTCCCTCACAAGTAGCTTGAAAGATTAGAAATAGGATTTTCAATGTCAGTAAAAATTAAGCATGCTGATATTATATTTATATTTCTGATTATTTTATGTATGTAAACACATATATTGTAAATACACAATATATAAATACTGTTGACCCTTGAATAACATGAGTTTGAGCTGCACAGTTTCACTTATACATAGATTTTTTTTTCAATAAATATATTGGACAATATTTTGAAAACTTGCAACATTTTGAAAAAAATTTCAGACAAACTGCACAAAATATAATTTATCAATACAGTTTAGGAAAAGTTAGGTAGGTCATGAATACATAAAATATATGTAGATACTAGTCAATTTTATTCTTTACTACCATGAAATACACACAAACTTATTATAAAAAGTCAAAATTTATACGAAACTTACAGACCATACATGGCACCATTCACAAGGAAGAGAAGTGAAAACAAACATAAAGATCCAATATTAAAACATAATGGCATAAAAGTATAGTACATTCTGTCCTACTGTAATGATTTTGTAGCCACCTTCTGTTGCTATTTTTATGAGTTTGTGTTGCAAGCATCCACTAACAACATAGTGTGGATCTAATCATCTTCAGGTGAACAGTTCATCTCTTCAATAAATTGTGTATTCAAGTAAAAGGTATTCTCTCACAGTTCTCATGTTATTTTTCACTGTGCTTAGTGCAATATCATAGACCTTAAATAACACAGGGGACCTATAGGCAGTGCCACCTTTGATGCTGGAAGTGCTCCAAAGAAGCATAGAAAAGCCATGGCATTACAAGAAAAAGTTGAATTGCTTGGTACCTTCCAAAGATTGAGGTCTGCAGCTGCAGTTGTCCATCATTTCAAATAAATGAAACTAGTGTAAGCACCATTGTCAATGTAAGAAAAAAAAAAATGCTGCAGCTATGTTAGCAGGGACAGAAACTTTGCACTTTTCATGAAATACATTTTTTATCTCATACACTTAAGATAGTATAGAAAAATGACACTCTTATATTAGCATAGGATTGTTTTAAGGAAAACATACCAATGGATTGTAATATCATTCAAGAAGAAAACTAAACCATTATATGGAACTTAAATCAAAAGGAAGATGAAGTATCAAAGCTGGATAATTTATTGCCAGCAAAGGATGGTTTGATAATTTTAGAAAAAAGGGTTTGGCCTAAAAATGTCAAGGTAATAGGAGAAGCAGTTTCTATCAACCAAAAGGCAGCAGATGAGTTCCCAGATACCATAAAAGAAATCATTGAAAAGAAGAGGTATCTGCCTGAACAGGTTTTTAACGCAGATGAAAGTGCCCTATCAGGGGTCATAAGGACCTTTAAGGCTCATTACGCATGATGCTTTATGGAAATAATTTTCAACTCTATGGAAGAGAACCCTGATAGAACATCTGGAAGGATTACACTGTTAAATTTGGAATCATTGTTACAGAAAAGCAATGAAAGCCATCAAGCTTGAAACAACAAATTGCTGCTGGAGAAAACTGCATCCAGAAAACTGTGCACGACATCACAGGATTTCTGACAGAGCCAATCTAGGACATAATAAAAGAGATTGTGGATATAGCAAAAAAGGTGAAGAATGGAGGATTTCAAGATAGGATACTTGGAGAAATTCAAGAGTTAACAGACACTACACAAAAGGAATTAACAGAAGATTACTTGATAGAGATGAGTGTTTCCAAACTAGTGCCAGATGATGATGATAGGAAGATGTAAAAGAAGCAATGCCAGAAAACAAGTTGACTTTTGAGAGTCTGTCAAAAGGTTTCCAATTATACAAGACTGCTTTTGACTTCTCTTATTACAAGGAGCCTTCTTTGATATGGCACTGAAACTAAAGCACGTGGTGGAAGAAAGATTTTTACCACATAGGAACATTTTTAGAGAAATTAAAAAGCAAAAAAGTCAGAAATTATAATGTATTTTAATAAAGTTGGGTCGACTATGCCTACTTCTTCTGACTTCCCTTCTATCTCCTCCAAAAATCTGCCTTTCCTACCCATGAGATAGCAAGACCAGCCACTCCACTTCCTCCACCTCAGCCTACTCAATGTTAAGATGATAAGAATTAAGAAATTATGACGACCTACTTCCACTTAATAAATAGTAAATTTATATTCCTTATAATTTTATTAATGGTTTTATTTTCTTTAGCTCAATTTACTGTTCGAATACAGTGTATAATGCATATAACATTTAAAAGATATGTTAATCAAATGTTTATGTTATTGGTAAGGCTTCTGGTAAACAGTAGGTTATTAGTTAAGTTTTTCAGGAGTCAAAAATTATACACAGATTTTTGCCTTTGTGGGAGATCAGCACCCTTAATACCCACATTGTTCAAGGGTCAACTGTAATACATAACACATATAAATATATATATTATATATAGCATAATCCAATACTCAAAACTGATAACCAGGAAAATGTACTTTTTCTGAGAAATTAATCTTTTATTAAATAGAAAATATATTGTGTTTTCATTCGTGACTCCTTTTTGTGAGGTCATAATATAATCCAAAATAAGGTCCATGTGGAAGTGGAACCAGAAATAAAAAATATTTGAATAGCTCGATGAGCATTGAAATATGACACCCAGAAAATATGGTGACAGACAATAGCTGGATGTGGAGTGTAGAAAGCAGTCAAGAAGGCAACAGATGATATAGTAAAATTTGGGTAGATTTGGGTGGATGACCAGAAGACTGAAAGATACAATATAGGGAAGTTAAAGCAGACTGTTGTGACAGAAAAACAATAGCTGAAGGTGTCATTCCTACCATGGTCATTTAAATTGTAGCAGTGCATTTAAAGCAGGTGTGATGATTCATGTGGCAATAGACCACATGAATAAATAGGCCACATGAATAATAAAATCACCCGGGTAACCACATCAAACATACTCCTACACTCTAGGGAACATATGGGGAAGGAATCTGATGGACAGTAGATCCCTAGAGATGTTATACAGTAGGCTTGTGGAAAGAACAGAGGATTATCTTGTTCAAGACAGAATTAATCCTTTATAGTTTGGCTTTTCTGCACAACAAGAACACTATTTAGCTACTATGTATAAGTAGTTAAATTTCATTTCTTTGGCTTATGATAACCTTAAGCATGGTGGTTTTCATAATTCTAATTCAGTATTTTTAACATTATTAAAATTATTATCACAGTTATGATTGTGCATCCCACTTCATCTTTTTTATCCTGATACCTACTTGCTGACCTCAAGTTTCAATTTTTTTTTATAAAACTAGGTTTCTTCTTTCTTCTGGTTCTCTATGTTTCTATTTGGATAATGAGTCCCTTGCATCATTTTGTCTTCTAACTAGAACCTTAAACAGATCTTGTCATGGAAATCTTCGATAGTTTCTCACTGTTATCAGAGAGTACATCCTCATAATTCTGTGTTTCTACAATTCTAAGAGTCATCAACCTCACTAGTCTCCGTTATTTTTTTCTATTTAACTCCAGCAATTTCCTCCCCTTGATACTGAATCACTGATGTCTTGCTGGAATATAACCTGCTTGATACCACCAAGTAAATACCATGAGCTTACTGATTAACTCAAATTTCCAATAAGTCCCTATGCATGTCATATCTCAATGTCTAGGTCAAGTTCATAAAGAGTACATATTTTTTTCTGCCAAATTCCCCTTGATTTGTGTAGGCTTGGTTACAGCTTCTGGTTTTAGCAGGCAGTTATAGCTTCTGGAATGCAGATTTTAAAATATCCTCTCTGGGATATGTTATGTTTGGATTAATTCCTTTTTCAGATGCCATTCTTGAAATCTATAAAAAAGCTAATCCAGAGACGACTGATTTTATCTATTATGGTACTCCAGTATTTGTCATGCAGAGGAAGTGTGACCATGAGCTTGCTCACATCTTGACTTTCACCGTATTATTTTATTTGTGGTTTTTGGTTGTTCTTTGTTGTTGTTGTTGTTGTTGTTATTGAGTAACTGGATGAGGGTTGAGGACTTCTATGAAGATCTAGAAATGGCTATCTTCTTTTTTTCAGATAAAACTGGATGTGCGAGTTCAAAGGTCTACATTTTGCAATACGAGGTAGGATATTAGTGTTAACTTTGTTACCAAGGTTTTTTTGTTTTGTTTTGTTTTGTTTTTTTTGTTTGTTTGTTTGTTTTTGAGAAACAGTCTCGCCCTGTCGCCCAGGCTGGAGTGCAGTGGGAAGATCTTGGCTCACTGCAAGCTTCAACTAAGGCAAATTTTACTTTTTCGTTTTTGAGACAGGGTTTTACTCCATTGTCCAGGCTGGAGTGCAGTGGTGGATTATGACTCACTGAAGCCTCAATTTTCTGGGCTCAAGTAATCCTCTCACCTCCGCCTCCCAAGTAGCTGGGACCACAGGCGTGTGTCACCACCGCTGACTATTTTTTGCATTTTTTGCAGAGATGGGGTTCACCATTTGCCAAGGCTAGTCTCGAACTCTTCGGCTCAAGCAATCTGCCCACTCCACTTTCCAAAATGGTGGGATTACAGGTGTAAATTACCCTAAGGCATATTTTTCAATCAAGCTTTTACTTCAGCTTTGCTGTTGGTCTAAAATTATTGTTCTTTATCTTGATATGCTCTTGTTTGAGAACCCTTGTAGGGGATGAATCCTATTTGGCACATAAACCCCCAAACGAAGTAATCTTTAGCAAGACTGCTATATGCAGAACACAGCTCTGTGATTGATAGTAATGACACTCAGCAAGTAAGAAGTCAAAATGCAGATATAAAAAGTAGCATTTACTAGTATTGGGGTTGATATTTTTGATAGAAGAATGTATCAGAGGCCAAGATTCTAACCAATTTTTTTTCTGAATTAAATTTCAGAGAACAGCTGAATTGAACTAGGGAGACATGAATTTGTCATGAATAAATCTTGCAGAAGGACTGTATTCAAACTATGGAGATATGATATACAGTGAATATATTTGTGGTTAGCAAAATGATGTTACAGTTTTATGATAATAAATTTCTTATAAAAAAGAAAGAGTTCTAATTTATTGTATTATCTTTAGTATCTTGCACAGTTCTGGCATGAATTAGATATTAAAACTTTCTACTCCAAATTAAGCAATACCTTATTAGAAAATGTTAGTCAATACTTATCGATATGTATGCCCCAAACATTTTGCAAAGTATGGGAAATACAAATTTTAAAAGTCATTGTCTTTGCCTAAGGTCTTTCCATTTTATGAGGGAATAGCAGCAAGAATGGAGAAGGAAGTGTGGACAGTGTTGAATAAAAGTGATATAGAAGTGGAAGAAAAGTATAAGGAATAGAAAATGTACACGAAGCAAGAAATAACAACATAATGAAGAGAAGAAAAAGGAAAGAAGCATAGTAGTGAATACTGAAGAGGCGAGAGGATGATGCAAAAGAATGATAAATAGATGCAAGTGGAGAAGCAAGGCAGAAAGGAAAAATAGAGAAAGCATTAACAGCAAACTAGACCAGAAAGGAGGACCAAAGGGGACAGGACTACAGCAAAATATTTCTATATCTGCTATAATTAATTAATTACAATAGATGATATATGCTTTTACTCTAATAGGTTTAGTAGTAACTGATTTGAAATTATTAATATGTATAGTTTTGAGATTTCTTTTAGAAATATTAAACTAGTGGCAGGAAATGAATAAATGACCACTATGTAGAAAAATAATTGTTAAAACTTAAAAGGATAAATTCTTGACAGAAACCTGCTACAATAACAATCGCTACCTTATGTAACAAACACAGAACTTCCATTAGCTCCAATTTAAATCAAACTGACAGGCTTCACTAAGAATTTGTTATGAACACTAAATGTTCTTGTAAAATTATGTAAGAAATAAATCTTCTATTATGAAATAACAGTCATATTCCTGAAATAAAATATAGATACCAGGTTGTTTTACCCACTCCACCCCATTGGAGATTGACAATTAATTATAAAATATGCATACGTGTGCAATAATGCAATTAGTACCTATAAGCATATTACTCTTTTTCTATCTCTCACATAGGTGCACACGCACACACACACACACACAACCATTCATGCACACACACAGTTATTGCATATGTATAATTTTAATTGTTGCTGCTCTTTTCAACTGTCATTACCACCCTTTTATGTTTTTCTTTGTGGCTAATTGCTCCCCACTATTAGAATCGAATGAGATCTGATAGTAAAAAGAGAAAGTTCTTGAGGTTTCTCCCCCACGTTCCCCATATTCCTCAGCAAATTTCATCTTTAGTTTTTTAAGCTAAGAAAAAAAAATGATTAGAGAGCATCTCTGTCTCCTGACTGAAACAATATGCATTCATCATCGTTGCACCCTAAAAATGTCACATTGGTCCAGCCCCAAGCATTGTTTATTTGTATAGCCTTGGCCTCTAGTAATGGGTACAAACTAGCCCCAGGTATGGTTTTGTCCCAAGTGGATCCAAGTACTTCTGCTGCATTTTCAGAACTTTCAAAATCTAAAATTGTCTAGTGAAAAGGAAACACATGCAATCTAAGTCATTATCTTCAGTACATTGTTATTTCAGAATATGCTAAAGCATGTGCAATGAGTTGTTCATTAATATCAGGAACTGACAAAGTCTGGAAATGTGCCTCGAAATCAAAATCTACCATAATGCCATTATAAAATAGAGGATCAGAAAGTAATTGCTACTACAATGAGAAAAATAAATGTTTATGATTTTTTGCTAAATCTATTTCTGATATATTTTACGATTATAAAATGATTGACATGCAAATAATTCTCATGATTTTAGGGTAAAAGCTAAAAATTAAATTATATTTATATGACCTGAATCAAGACAGTGGAATAAAACTGTAAGTATTCATGAATGCACACATGGAGAGAAATGTACTTTTTTTTGTTTCCTAAGATTTGACTGTGTTCCCTGAAAACCCAGTGGGTTGTTTTAAACTGGCAAGGAGGAATAATCCAGCTTGTTTACGATGTGGCAGCCCATATGAGCATCCTATTCCACACAGTCCTTGAAAATCTTGAAAATAAACACATCAGCATTATCATTACCTATATATATACATCCTGTGTGAATTTATACAGCTAGAATGTAAGATTAATGTGAACAATTCAAAAGCATTCTTCCCTGCCTAAAAATTAATTTATATTACCCTCTTACAGTCATATCTTCCATAGTATAGTAAAGGTGCCTTCTCACACTTTTCCCCCTATCTTGAGCTTCTGCCTTCCTATGTTTTTAAACTAAGTTACTATTTCCTGAAAACACCTCCACTTCTAACACTGAGTCTTCACCCACAGAGACCCAAAACCCTTAAAATAACTCAGTTTTCACAACATCTGGATACTTTTACTTCTCTAATCTCCTCAGTCTTCATTCCTTCTCAAGAATCCTACATGGTTAAAATCTTACTAGACTGAGTCATGCATTCTCACAAGGATGATATTGTCCACAATGTGGCTACAATTGGCTCTTGAGGGGGGAAATATTCTTTAGAATTGCAACAGTTTGGGTCTCCACAGTTTAACACTGTAGGACAAGCTCTTCATCGTCAAAATTGAATTTCATGAGAGAATGGTGGTGATTTTGTAAAAGCATCTAAAAGGGATCCTGGTAGGGAGAAGAGTGATAATGAAAAGAAGATTGGGAAACACTGGGCACTATCATCGTCCCAGTTGTCCTCAATATATTTGTAAAGCTCTGTATCGATACACATGTTTTTTTTTTCCCATCCAAGATAACTTTGTTCAACACTTGATGACTTATCTTTAGAAAATCCTCCCATTCTTCTAGATACAGCTCAAATGTAAACTCTTGTAGCTTTTGTGGATACAATCATTCCACCTGCACCAGGCAGAAAACTTTCTTTTTACATGCGTTTCCATATTTTCCAGGTACTCGGCATGCTATGGACCAAATGTTCCTGGCTCCCCCCACAATTTATACATTGAAACCCTAATTTCAGTAGGAAAATTTTTGGAGGTGAAGCCGTTGAGAGATAATTAGGTCAGGAGGATGAAAGCCCTCATGAACGGAATTAGTGCCCGTTTAAGGAGAGAGCTAACAAGTACTCTCTCCGCCACCTGAGGGCGCAGTGTGAGGAGGTGACTCTCTGCAACCCAGAAGGGAGTCCTCACCAGAACCTGATCATGCTGGCAACCTGGCTACCAGAACTACAGGAAATACAATTCTGGGGCGAGGGCAGTGGCTCACTCCTGTAATCCCAGCACTTTGGGAGGCCGAGGTGGGCGGATCACTTGATGTCCGGAGTTCGAAACCAGCCTGGCCAACATGGAGAAACCCCATCTCTACTAAAAATACAAAAATTAACCAGGCATGGTGGCGGGCACCTGTAACCCCAGCTATTTGTGAGACAGCTGGAGGCAGGAGAATAACTTGAACCTGGGCGGAGGAAGTGACAGAGATCGCGCCATTGTGCTCCAGCCTGGGCAACAGAATGAAAAAACAAACCTGGTTTTCACTGTCTCCTAGGCTGCAGCCTCGAACTCCTGGGCTCAAGTGATCCTCCTGCCTCAGCCTCTCGAGTAGCTGGGACTACAGGCATGTGCCACCACACCCGGCTAATGTTTTTATTTTTATTTTTGTAGAGATGGGGTCTTTCCCAGGCTGGTCTTGAAATTATGGCCTCAAGCAATCCTTCTACCTTGGCCTCCCAAAGTGCTACTATTACAGACAAGAGAATTTCCGTTGTTTATAAACCACACAGGCTATAATATTTTGTTATAGCAGCACGAACTAATACATGTCATCACTGGATATCCATGTATTTATATATTGTTCTTCCTTGTGATAATGTGTCTTCATATTTAAGTCCATACTATCTACATCTTTATAATCCTCAGTAATATGGAGTTGTTACCAGACTAAGCAAGATGGTTTAAAGATTAGGAAAATAAAAGCCTTTGGATAAAAAAAAAAGTAACAGAAATATTATTGTTTTGATGTAGTGAAAGAATGGGTAAAGATATAATCCTGCTTTATTTCGATCAACTATAGGCTATTCTGCTTACCTAGTATGAAACAGGATTATTAAGGCCAAATTTAGGTTTCTAAAATAGAGCCATAAAGTGAGTATGTGCTTTACAAATTATATTAGCATCATAGTGGTCCCCATAATGAGAATAAATATAAGACCATGTAGATGACAATAAAAAGTCCTAGATGAAAGAAATATATGTAAACTATACCTATGTCTATATTTATTTATATCTTTAATCTTTCAAGCAATTTATATTTACTTATAAATACAGTAATACAATTATATAATATACTATATAAATTTATAGTAAATATATATTTACTATACATCTATGGTTAGTATATTTATTAAATATATTTATATATTATATATAAGTAATTTTATCTGAATTAGAGACAGAGTCTTGCTGTGTATTTCAGGCTAGAATATTGTGGCTCTTCATAGGTGCAATCATTGCACACTATAGCCTCAAATTCCTGGACTCAAACAAGCCTCCCACCTCAGCCTCCCCACGTAGCCAGGACTATAGGTATCCACTACTGTGCCTGGCTCTATATTATATACTCACGTATAAATATTTTATAATTAATATAAATAAGAAATTATGATATGTTACATAATATAATAATATAATGTATTTTATTTATTAGTCATCAAATAAATCTTCTAGTTCTGGTAGAAATTTAACTTAGAGGAGATACTGCTTTATTTCCCAAGTGTTGAAGAAAATATAAAGTGAACACATTTATTAGTAAGGAAGGTCAAATTATAAATCACGCCTACTTCAGTCTTTTTTCCAAGTTAATTTATAAATGACATTTAAAAAAAGTTAAATGCATCAAGTAGAATTTTAAAAGTAGTCAAAGAGGAAGTTTAAGATACCAAGAAAAGGAAATGTTGTATATTTACTTAAATCACAAAGGTAGACAGATGTAATTTTAAAAGTCAATGAAGAAATTTAACATAAAAACAAAATAATAAAAATGTTAAAATTAATTAAAATGCTTACTGAATGCTAGAGAGTTGAAGGTCCTTTATTAACACTCTTCGTATTGGCCATTTTACAGAAGGGA